>NC_000012.12:32123589-32276284 GCF_000001405.40 Homo sapiens
GTTGTGGTCGGGCACAGTGGCGCACGCCGGTAATCCCAGCAGTTTGGGAGGCTGAGGCGGGCGGATCACCTGAGGTCAGGAGTTCAAGACCAGCCTGGCCAACATGGTGAAACCCCATCTCTATTAAAAATACAAAAAATAAGCCAGGCGTGGTGGCAGGTGCCTGTAATCCCAGCTACCCGGGGGCTGAGCCAGGAGAATAGCTTGAACCTGGGAGATGGAGGTTGCAGTGAGCCGAGATTGCGCCACTGCACTCCATCCTGGGCGACAGAGCAAGACTCCGTCTGAAAAGAAAAAAAAAAAAGACAGCCAGTTATTTGAAAAGAGGTTGGAGTAGACCACTTGTTTTAAAAATAACCACTTGTTTGCCTAGGTTAAACCCATTTACTCAAAAGACACTGCGCTGACTTGCCTGGTTCCTTGTACCTGAATCTTTACCTAAGTGTCTTGTGCTCTCTGTCCTTTATTCTCCATAATGCGAGCTATCCAGTAGACCCTAGCCAAAGGGGACATAAAGACAGTCTCAACATTGTATTACTGGTTCTGTGCTACAGTTGTCATTCAAGTTCCTGAGAAAATGGAATGAATGTCTGTTATTCATTTATTTATTAAATCTTTAGAGAGCATCATCTATATGCCAGGTATTATGCAGGCTATACAAAAATTAGGAAGACGTGATCTTTATTTTTAAGTTACTTATTTGTTGTTGGAGGCAACAGAGATAAATGAATTGTGATATTTTACTGGAAACAATATGAGTTTTTGAGTTAAGAACAGACTGTGTTTGAAATCCCTTTAGCAGCTATGTGACCTTAGGCCAATATTTGAAATGATGTGAACGTTGGTTTCCTCCTCAGTAAAATGGAGAATGATAATAACTATAAGTGGTAAGGAAAAATGCATGTGAAGGATTTAATACAGTATCTGACACATGACAAGCACTTGATAAATGATGGATGTGATGGTGACAATAATAGTAATAATAATAAAATAATAATGTGTTGGCTGTGCTCGATAGGAGTGGAGGGTAGCAAACTCAGCTTGAATCAGAGTAATCTCCTGATCAGGCAACATTTGAGGGGGCTTTGAAGAATAAGTAGGGATTTTCCGGGGAGAGAAGAGGGGCAAAGTCATTCAGGAAGATGAAACAGCCTGTAGAAGAGGGAAGGCTGGAGAGAGTGCTGCTTGTCAGTGTCTGTGTTGTTGCAGTAGGGAGGTAGATGGAATGGGGTGAGAGGGGAGGTGAGCCTGGAGAGATGGTTTGGGGCCAGATGGGGAAAGCTGTGTTATGGGGCTTGTCAGTTTCTGCCAGCCAAGGCTTCAGCATAGCTGACTGTAACAAAGTTGGGAAGGCCTTGCTTTTGAGAGCCAGACCAGGAGTACCTGTGACTAACAAGGGGTCTGGGAGGATCTGCTGCTCCCATGCCCTCCTTTGTATATTTTAAATCTGTTTGAGCCTTCTGGGCTCCTGTGAATTAGGGAGAGGCAGCTCCTCAGTCTAACTCCTACTGTGACCAGGTTGCCTAATTGGCCCTTTGGTTTGGGCACCCACTGTCCTCTGCGTGGTTGGATAGATGCTGCTCCCAATGTCCCTGATCTCTTACAGACCCCTCTGATTCTTCACTCTTGGCTTTGAGAGCCCCTGATGCCCTGCAGTCTTGACTGAGCTTCTAATGGTTGATCAGACCCTTGAATGTTGAGCTCTTTCCATACTAGACTTGAATATTCTCCTGCCCATTTGATTTGTTAATTAGGATTCATTGGCTGTTTCTCTGCTCTCCTCTTTTCTCTCTGTTCCTGCTGGTTCAAGTTTAACCTCCATTTTCTTTCTCCTCTGGGAAGTTTCCCTTATGCCTCTTGAACAGGGTCAAGAGCACTTAGGAGCTCAGATTTACACTGTATATCATGAGAAAAGCATTGAAAGTTTCAAAGCAGGAGAGTGACATAATTAGCTTTATGTTTTAAAGCGGATTTTTGACTTTAGATTCTGGCAATACAGTGGTCCTGTGGTCTAAGACATCTGACTAACCTTCCTGCTAGCAACAATTAAAAATGCTGAGTGCAATAAAAAACTAGCCCTTAAATGGAATGAATGAGTCGACTACTTGGTAAGGATGCTCAGAGGCTAAAACTGAATCAAAGCAGGAACTCTTAGAAGTAAGCAGTGTGTTGGCTAGGCGCAGTGGCTCAGCCTGTAATCCCAACACTTTGGGAAGCCAAGGCAGGTGGATCACTTGAGCTCAGGAGTTTGAGACCTGCCGGGGCAACATGGCAAGACCCCGTCTCTAAAAAAAAAAAAAAATGCCAAAATTAGGCAGACATGGTGGCACACACTTGTAGTCCCAGCTGCTCGGGAGCCTGAGGTGGGAGAATCGCTTGAGCCCAGGAGGTGGAGTTTGCAGTTAGCTGAGATTGTGTCACTGCACTCCAGCCTGGGCAACAGAGCAAGACTCCATCTCAAAAAAAAAAAAAAAAAAAAAGCAGTGCATCAAATCTGACTTTTGCCTTGAATGCATTTGCTGAATCAGTATTGGTTCAATACTGAGCATTAGTTTTCCGGCCACTTAGAGTAGAGGAAATAGGAGATAAAGCCTAGAATCTCCCCAGATTTGGGCTCCAGAGGACCCTACAACTATTGTGGGGGGAACTGGATGTGGTGGGAAAAATTGTATACCTCTTCTCAGACTTCATACCCCACCAATGGGCTCTCACCACGGTTTGCAGACTGTTCACACCGAGTTTGTGTAGAAAGGATGAAATCTTAAGATTAGAATGAGAGTGAACGCAGGTTGGTCATGCCTGCAGCTCTCTTTGAAGACACTCGCTATCATGGTGGGCTAGAAATAGTCACCATAGATAGTATTCTTAAAAAAAAAAAAGTTGCTGGCCGGGTATGGTGGCTCACACCTGTAATCTTAGCATTTTGGGAGGCCGAGGCGGGTGGATCACTTGATACCAGGAGTTCGAGATCAGCCTGGCCAACATAGTGAAACCTTGTTTCTACTAAAAATACAAAAATTAGTTTGGCATGGTGATGCAAGCCTGTAATCCCAGCTACTTGGGAGGCTGAGGCAGGAGAATTGCTTGAACCCGGGAGGTGAAGGTTGCAGTGAGCCGAGATCAGATCACGCCACTGCACTCTAGCCTGGGCGACAGAGTGAGACTCTGTTTAAAAAAAAAGAAAAAGACCCTGCAGAAATTAAAATTGTAAAAATATAAATATACAAGGAACAGGCACCAGGCACCTTTGGCTCCACATCCTTGTCATCACTTCATACCTTGTGGCTCTAGTTTGCATTTTTGTGGCTGCTTATGAGGTCGTGCCTCTTCAGTATTTACAGGCATTTATGACTATCCTGCACTGAAATGCATTTCATGTCTTTGCTCATTTACCATTGGATTGTTTACATTTTTCTTCCTGATTTGTAAGAGTATACACCTATACTCATATTCTGTATACTAAGCCTTTTTAGTTATTTAGATATGTTGGAAATATCTTTTCCTAGTCCATGGGTTGTCTTTTTACTCTTTCTGTGGTATCCTTTGAAGAAGAGAAGTTTATAATTTTAATTTAGTTGATTTATCACTCTTTTGTGTTTCTAGGTTGTATTTTTCTATTCTTAAGAAATCCTTTCCATGAAGTCATAAAAACATGCACCTATATTGTCTTCTGAATATCTTATGGTTTGACTTTTATATTTAAATCTTTAATTCTCCCTGGAATTGAGTTTTGTGTTTGGTGTGAGGTAGAAATCTAATTTAAATTTTTTCCCATGATTCCACCCCACCCCCCAATAAAATTAGCCAGTGATCTCAGTACCACAGGTTACTGAACAGTTGATCTTTCCTGCACTAATTTCCAATGTGTGTTTTGTGATAAATCAAGTTTTTATATATGCATGGGTCTATTTTTGGACTATTCTGTTACATTGGTTTGTTGGTCTATTCTTGTGCAAATGCCACACTGTCTTACTCTTACCATTTTAATATAAGTTCTTGGTAGCTGATGGAATAATTCTTCTTATTTTGTTCTTCCCCAGGAGTCACTGGCTTTGGACACCTTCCTTGCTGTCATAGGCTCTTTGCTTTGGAAAGCTCTCAACATTTACAAGGAAGTGACAAGTGTGAACGAAGGCAGATCACACTGTTTATTTCCGTTTCCCCAATAAGCATTAAGGAGGAGGATATTGAGGGTCTAGTTGTGGTTGTCTTAGACTTTGCACATGTTTTTATAAGCAAAGCAGACAAGCTCCAGCAAGGGAACTCAATTGTCTAATTAGATGTTACCAGAAATCTTATTGGGGCTGTGATCTAATTCTTTTTTTTTTTTTTGAGACAGACTCTTGCTGTGTCATCCAGGCTGCAGTGCAGTGGCGCGATCTCAGTTCACTGCAGCCTCTGCCTCCGAGGCTCCAGTGATTCTCCTGCCTCAGCCTCCTAGGTAGCGGGGATTACAGGTGCATGCCACCACACCCGGCTAATTTTTGTATTTTTAGTAGAGACAGGGTTTCACCGTGTTGGCCAGGCTGGTCTCAAACTCCTGACCTCAGGTGATCTGCCCGCCTCCGCCTCCCAAAGTGTTGGGATCACAGGCGTGAGCCACCGCACCCGGCCTGAGCTAATTCTTAAGAAGTCACTTTGGAAAAAAATATTATTTAAGGGCTTTTCATAAAGTATTCAAAAAGGTACAAGTTCTAATCTAACAGTTCTATTTGTGATTTTTGAGGAAGCATATGCGTATTTCCACTTAAGCATCTGAAATATTGCCTCTAGTGCTGAACAAATTCTTCCCTTGGTTATTTTCCTCTTATCTCAGTCCCTGGAAGAATAAATGCCTGTACTAATTCTCTATATACATAAATGGTCTCTTTAGGTATAAATAACCTCATAATCACATAAAAGTTAAAGTTTTAATGGAAAAGGCTGAGATGAAATATTACCTAAGTAGGAATTAATTGCTTTTTATCACTTTACATTATTTCATTTTTAGTATTATGAAAAATATAATTGTTCCTTTTCTTAAAAAAAAACCAGCGTAATTTGTGCTTAGTTTTAAACCAAAATTTTTCCTATATGTTTATAGTTTATATTTTCAAGCCAAAATACTTGAGTTTTTTTCCTGTCATAATATATCAATATGAGAAATGTATTGTTACTTTAGAATCTTTTAAAACTTCTTTTTATTCCTTTTTTTGTTTTTTAAGATAGGGTATTGTTTTGTTGCGCAGGCTAGAATGCAAGGGCACGATCTTGGCTTACTGTAGCCTCAGCCTCCCAGGTTCAAGCAACCCTCCCACATCAGCCATACAAGTAGCCGGGACTACAGGCATGCACCACCATGTCCAACTAATTTTTTTTTTCTTTTTTTTTGAGACAGAATCTCGCTCTGTTGCCCAGGCTGGAGTGCAGTGGCACGATCTTGGCTCACTGCAACCTCTGCCTCCCAGATTCAAGAGATTCTCCTGCCTCAGCCTCCCGAGTAGCTGGGATTATGCACCATTGTGCCTGGCTAATTTTTGTATTTTTATAGAGATGGGGTTTCACCATGTTGTCCAGGCTGGTCTCGAACTCCTGACCTCAGGTGATCCGCCTGCCTCAGCTCCCCAAAGTGCTGGGGTTAGAGGCCCAACTAATTTTTTAAAAATTTTTTGTAGGCCGGGCATGGTGGCTTATGCCTGTAATCCCAGCACTTTGGGAGTCCAGGCAGACGGATCACCTGAGGTCAGGAGTTGGAGACCAGCCTGGCCAACATAGTGAAATCCTGTCTCTACTAAAAATAAAAAAAATTAGCCAGGTATGGTGGCACATGCCTATAGTCCCAGCTACTTGGGAGGCTGAGGCAGGACAATTGCTTGAACCCAGGAGGTGGAGGTTGCAGTGAGCTGAGATGGCGCAACTATACTCCAGCCTGGGCGACAGAGCGAGATTCCATCTCAAAAAAAAAAAAAAAAAAAAAAATTCTGTAAACACAAGGTGTCACTATGTTTCCCAGGCTGGTCTCAAACTCTGGGCTCAACCGATCTTCCCACCTCAGCCTCCCACAGTCCTGGGATTATAGACATGAGCCACCGCACCTGGCCTAAAACTCTTTCTTCAACATTAAGAAATAAGACTTTTCCAGTCTCTTTCTTAACCCTGTACCCTTTTCTTTCTCATCTTCTTTTATCCCCTCCCTTCATTAACTTTACATTGCAATACCAAGGACTTAATGGTTTGTTAAAAAAATGAATTCTACTCAGTAGAAAATTCCTGAGAATATTTATTAAATGTCACTGGGAGGAAATTTCCCTAAGCAAGATACAAAACTTAGAATCAAAAGGGAGGACTGACTTATTTGGTTTTAGAAATGAAAAAGAACAGTTTGGAAGAAATAGTGCGATGTGGATGACTTACAAACAATTATTATTCCTAAAATATAGGTACAATGAGTTTATTGAAAACAACATAATGCAATAGGAAAAAAGGACAAAGAGCAACTAGTCAGAGAGGATTTGCAAGTAAATCAGTAAATGGGAAGAGATGTTCAATCTGAGTAGTCAGTGAATGTAAATTAAGGAAGTTTACTTTTTTTCCCATTAATTTACAAAAATTTTAAATATGATAATATACAGTGACAAAATTTTTTTTTTTTTTGAGATGGAGTCTCGCTCTGTCGCCCAGGCTGGAGTGCACTGGGCAATCTCGGCTCACTGCAAGCTCCGCCTCTCGGGTTCATGCCCTTCTCCTGCCTCAGCCTCCCAAGTAGCTGGGACTACAGGCGCCTGCCACCGCGCTCGGCTAACTTTTTGTGTTTTTAGTAGAGACGGGGTTTCACCGTGGTCTCGATCTCCTGACCTCGTGATCTGCCTGCCTCAGCCTCCCAAAGTGCTGGGATTACAGGCGTGAGCCACCACGCCCGGCCCCAAAATTTTTAAATAATGATAATATACAGTGTCGGAAAGTGTGTAGAGGTAGAAGTGTGAATTGCTGTGAACTTTGAGAACGTGGATTGGCAGTCTGTATTAAGATCTAAAATGCATACAGTGCTTGGGCCCAGCAGTCTCACAGAAGCCATAGGTGATTGTATGTCAGTTCCCAAATACCACTCGTTAGAGAGAAGCACTGTTTAACATCTAGTATCTCATTTAGACCCTGTTTGAGCATAGATCATATGTGTGTGGAACATAAAAGTAATCGAAGTATGCTCATTCTTTTTTTAACATATCTTTCCAGGCTTCTATATAGTTAAATAAATAATGCTCCTTGACATTTATGTATTTATTTATTTAGATGGAGTCTATTTCTGTCGCCCAGGTTGGAGTTCAGTGGTGTGATCTCAGCTCACTGCAACCTCTGCCTTTCGGGTTCAAGCAATTCTCCTGCCTTAGCCTCTCAAGCTGGGACTATAGGCATGCACCACCATTCCCGGCTAATTTTTGTATTTTTAGTAGAGACGGGGTTTCGTCATGTTGGCCAGGCTGGTCTCGAACTCCTGACCTCAGGTGATCTGCCCGCCTCAGCCTCCCAAAGTGCTGGGATTACAGGTGTGAGTCACCACGCCAGGCTGCTCCGTGACATTTAAATAAAATCATATTTTAAAGTCCAGTTGTAAGCCTATACATCCCCCTTATCACTTATCTCTAATTCACTTCTAGACCTGGTTTGAACTTTGGATTTAGTGCTTTCAAAGTGTGATTTTTTTAAAAAAATTATTTTTCTGTTGCCGTATATTTCAGCTCTTCTCGGTCTTGAAAAGATTTGTGAGCCTTTTTGACAAAAGGTGGTGCTCATTTTCTATTTCGGTGGCTCCAGTAAAGGGAGCTGCTCTCTCATCGGATGATTATTGCCCCCAGAAGTGGTCCTACCATAGCTTTACTGGTCAGTTAGCCAGAATTTACACATTTACTCTGAGGCTTACAAAAATACTGTGTTCATAAAAAGCCCTCCTTCACATTTTGTGAAACAGTTGCATGGTGATTTGGGATATTTTAAGTTTACCATCACCTCTCTGTCCTCTGCAAAAATAAAAATTGTGGAATGTAAAACAACTCTGTTGCACAAAAAGGGGAACTTGGTGTAGGAAAAAATAACTAGAAATGATAACTACGAGACACTGCACTCCCAAATTGAAGATTTAAAAAAATTCCTGATCGTAAATAAGAAAAATTATGGAGACATTTATCCACTGCATATCTGATGACTAAACGCTTGGTATACCCCAGCCATTGTTAGGTGCCAGGGTACAAAGTTCCTGCCCTCAGCGGGTTGACACACTTGTGGGGGAGAAAGGCAACAAAAGCTTAAGCAAGTAAATGCATAATTTTACAGGGTGATATGTGCTAAAAACTAAATAAAGCAAGGTGGAGGAATAACAAGACTGGCGGGGGTGCTGGCTGGGGTGGCTATTTGAGAAATGAGGGCCAGGCATGGCCTTTCAGAGGAGATGATGTTGGAGCTGAATCCCAAGTGGTCAGAAGGAGCAAGGTGGGAAAATATTTGAGCAAGATGGGAAAATATTTCAGTTCCTGGGTCAAAAGTAACAGTAAGTGTAAAGATCTTGAGATGGGGGCTGGGCACTGTGGCTCACACCTGTAATCCCAGCTGTTTGGGAGGCCAAGGTGGGCAGATCATGAGGTCAGGAGTTCGAGACCAGCTTGACCAATATGGTGAAAACCTGTCTCTACTAAAAATACAAAAATTAGCTGGGTGTGGTGGCAGGCGCTTGTAATCCCAGCTACTCAGGAGGCTGAGGCAGGAGAATTGCTTGAACCCGGGAGGCGGAGGTTGCAGTGAACCGAGATTGTGCCACTGCACTGCAGCCTAGGCGACAGAGCGAGACTCTGTCTCAAAAAAAAAAAAAAAAAGATCTTGAGATGAGAATGAACTGGGTTTTTGTGAAAATGGCAAATGGCATTTTGGGTACTGCAAGCCTTTGCGGCTCGGAACTGTGCTGTGCACTGTGGGACTGTGTGGCTCAATGCGGGACGGTTAGCATCCCTAGTCACTGTCATTACAAAAACAGTCACACATTCTAGACACCCACTGCCCGCCCCAACGCCAAGGGGGCAGTACTGCCTTCAACCAGGACCCCAAAAGACTCCAGTGTGGCAGTTGTTGGGGAGGGGGAATGTGAGAGGGGCAGTGGAGAGGGAGTCAGCAAGCAGGTTCTCTGAGCCCTGGTGAGAAGTCTGGATTTTATTTTAAGCCGCCTGAGTGATGTGATTTCATACATGTTTTTAAAAGATCACTCTGGTTATTCCTTGCAGACAGTGGAAGAGTGAGCCAAGTTAGGAGGCTATTGCAGTAGTTCAGGTAAGAGATGATGGTGGCTTAGACTGAGAGAGAATCTACTTGAGGGTAAGAAGTGATCTGATTCAGGGTATATGTTGAAAGATTTGCTAATTAATTAAATATGGGAGGCAAAAGAAGGTGGAGAAATCAGGATGGCTCCTAGGTTTCTTATAAGGAGCTAGGAAGAATGTAAAGAAATCATATGATAAGGAGATATAAAAAGGAATAAAATAATATTTCACACTTAAATTTAGGAGACGAAATATTTGCTTATTTGAATTTGAAAATTCTTGTGGATACCAATATTGATACTTTGTCTGAAAAATAATTTTAAGATGAGTCTCCTGGCCAGGCGGGGTGGCTCATGCCTGTAATCCCAGCACTTTGGGAGGCTGAGTCAGGTGGATCACCTGAGGTCAGGAGTTTGAGACCAGCCTGACCAACATGGTGAAACCCCATCTCTACTAAAAATGCAAAAATTAGCCGGGTATGGTGGTGCACACCTGTAATCCTAGCTACTCGGGAGGTTGAGGCACAAGAATCACTTGAACCTGGGAGGTAGAGGTTGCAGTGAGCCAAGATCGTGCCACTGCAAGCCAGCCTGGGCGACAGAACAAGACTCCATCTGGGAAAAAAAAAAAAGATGAGTCTGCCAAAATGTTTCTCATTTGGAAGGGATTCATGACTTTGCCAGAAAAACAAGCAGCATTCTATAGTTATAATGCTCTATGATGTAATTTACTGGACCTAAGTTGGCTACCTTTCATGATGCATATTAAGTGTGGAGCCATATTTCTTAGTTTCTGTTATAAAGCTAAACTGTTAAGTCATTTTTATTCCTATAAAGTCAAACAAACTAGCCATGGATACTTTTTAACATTCTGTGAAACCAACTTTATCCAGTTTCTGAAATGGATGCCAGTTCTTTTTTTTTTTTTTTGAGATGGAGTCTTGCTCTGTCCCCCAGGCTGGAGTGCAGTGGTACGATCTCTGATCACTGCAACCTCCGCCTCCCGGGTTCACGCCATTCTTCTGCCTCAGCCTCTTGAGTAGCTGGGACTACAGGCGCCTGCCACCACGCCTGGCTAATTTTTTGTATTTTTAGTAGAGACGGGGTTTCACTGTGTTGGCCAGGATGGTCTTGATCTCCTGACCTGGTGATCCACCCACCTCGGCCTCCCAAAGTGCTGGGATTACAGGCCTGAGCCACTGTGCCTGGCTGGATGCCAGTACTTTTTAAACCAAAGTTAAAATAATTATTTATAGGAAGCAGTTGTGCACTGTAGATTAGGAACATGGAGACTGGGGCATAAATATATTCTTGAGCTAGAATTAAAGTAAAACATGTGACTGATGGAAATAACAGCTCTCCCTGTGCCCTACCATGGAACTTGGTAAGCCTTTGTTAACTCACTGGCACTGCTAGATCATGCTATGGTCCCCGAGGGCCAGGGAGGCAAGTGTGCTAGTCCAAGTAAAAAGCTGATATGATCTTTGTATGAACAGAAACACTGTTTGTAATGTGATGATAACGTTGGTTTCTTGCTCCTGGGATATTGTGTTCTAGGTAAAGTGGTCCAGAGACCAATGGGTGGCAGATACAGGGATACAGAGGTCAACTTAATATAAAAAAAGACCTTCTCTAATGTCTAAGAGCAGAGTGAAAGTGAGCAGGCCATCTGAGGAGAGAGAGACTTCCCTGTTGGCTCATCATGATGCTTAAGCAGAGCCAAAAAGCTACTTGGTAGGGATGTCAAGGAAGTGAGTCAGGTGTTTTCAGCACCGCGACTCTGTCATTGTGTGCCTCTCTCCTTAATACCTCAGAATTAGAATAAAGTCTTGATAACAGTAGTGGCACCAGTCCTGTGGTTTGTTTTGCGATGACTGTGTGGTTGTTAAACTTTCTAAGTGAAACACCATAGTGTCGGGAGCAATGCCGACAAGCCTGGCCACCTTTGGTCTACAGCAGATATTGCAAGCTGATATCCCGTGGCCACAGTCAGGCTTGGTGATTGATAAACATTTTGATTTAGGGAGCTGCTTTTTTCAAGAAACAGAATCACATAAACAGGATTTCAGGCCAGTCTCAAAAAACTGGAAGATTTCACAGAGCCTTGGGCCCACATTTCTGTGTGGCATCAGAGGGCTAGAGGTGAATGAGTCCTCCTCTCCTCTCCTCTCCCCCTCCTCCCCTCCATTCCCCTCCCCTCCCCTTCCCCGCTCCCCTCCTTTATTTTTTTTTTTTATGAGACGGAGTCTCACTGTGTCACCCAGGCTGGAGTGCAGTGGTGTGGTCTCAGTTCATTGCAACCTCCATCTCCCAGGTTCAAGCCATTCTCCTGCCTCAGCCTCCTGAGTAGCTGGGATTACAGGTGCATGCCACCATGCCTGGCTAATTTTATATTTTTAGTAGAGATGGGCTTTCACCATGTTGGCCAGGCTGGTCTTGAACTTGTGACCTCAGGTGATCCGCCTGCCTCGGCCTCCCAAAGTGCCGGGATTACAGGCATGAGCCACCATGCGTGGCTTTTTTTTTTTTTTTTTTTTTTTTTTTTTTGAGACAGGGTCTCTTGCGCTGTCACCTAGGCTGGAGTGCAGTGAGACAAACACAGCTCACTGCAGCCTAGACCTGCTGGGTTTAAGTGATCCTTACATCTCAGCCTCCTGAGTACCTGGGACTACAGGTGTGCATCACCACACCTGGCTAATTTTTAAATTTATTGTAGAGACAACACTTCACTATATTGGCTGGCCTGGTCTCAAATTCCTTGCCTCAAGCGATCTTCTGCCTTTACATCCCAAAGTGCTGGAATTACAGGCATGAACCTTCACCTTTCTTTTAGAAAGAGCGTGAATCTCTAATTCACCAGAGTCCCCACCATTCCATCTCATCTGAGTTATCTCACTATCTCTGTTCTTCCCTCATTTACATCATCTGTCACTTACCTGTTGACATGTGAGTTTTGACTTTTGATTGAGATGCTGACACCCTCCTTCCCTTCTAGGAAAGGAAAATAAAGGGGGAAGGAAGGTGGAGAGGGACAAAGGAGAGGCGTGTGGAGGATGATAGCGCAGGACTTGCATTCTCAGTTCTGCCTCTTAAATCTTGGAACCTATTTCTTCATCTAACAGTATAGGACTGATGTTTATTTTTGTATTAGATCATATATATAGGAGTACCTGGCATATAACTTTGTCCAAAGTACACATTCTTTAGCTGGTGCTCCTCTGTGTTCCCCTGTAAAGACTGAGGCAACTATAATGTTCCACTGTTCTGTGATTATTGATTTTCAGGTCTGTTTCCTCCACCAGATTATGTGTGTCTTACTCAACTTTGTATCACCAAGCACCTACGTGGCATTTTTTCTTTTTTGAAGGTAGGGACCATGGCTTTCTCTTTCTTTACTGGACACTGTATAGATGTCATGCAGGTCTGAACGTCACACTGTTAAATAATTACTTAACAACTGACCAGAACTAAGGCTGTGGTCTAGAGCTCCAAACCAGAAGCAAAAAGGAATGGTGCTGGGCTGGGGCACTTTCCTCTAACATCACCCAAACCCAGAAAACGAGGATCGTAAGCCCCTTCATGGGCCAAATGCAGGGCTGGGGCCCTTGGGCTAACCCTTTAGTGCCTCTGGCTGCATCACTGTCAGAGTAAGGTAACCAGCAAGGGGCTGCAGGGAACAACCAGCCAGGTCCAGACATGGACAAACATAATTGGAAGGAAGACAGGAAATGGACAGGTCCTGTCCAGTGTAGATAAAATGACAGCAGCTAAGGCAGGTTGAGGGGCAGAGGAGAGGCTGGGGGATCGGTATTGTAGCAATGCAGGAGTCCTGTCCTGAGTGGCTGCTCAGGGTATTGACATGCCATTTTGATAAATACATGAATTAATGAGTGAGTTTCGAGAGTAGGGGGAGAGAGAATAACTGGGCATCCCCTTCTGTAGATCCTCAGTCTTCTAGTCTTATCTCTCTAGAAGGATATTCACCCATACTCACCTTGTCCACTTTGTGCCAGAGTTGAACATTCTTAAGAAATTAAGAAGGTGATTCTTTGCCAACCATATTCCAGTTCTTTATTTAGGAGCTATATTATCAGCTTTGCTTATGGCTCCAGAAGTGGCCATTAATACCTGGAGCTAAAACACTGTTTTGGTTTAGCATGACTCTAGTTTTCACTGAATATTTAGTATTTTTAAGTTAGGTTTTTTTGTTGTTGTTGTTTTTGTTTTTGTTTTGTTTGAGACAGTGTCTCGCTCTGTTGCCCAGACTGGATTGCAGTGGTGTGATTTCAGCTCACTGCAGCCTACACTGCCTGGGTTCAAGAAATTCTTGTGCCCCAGCCACCTGAGTAGCTGGGATTACAGGCATGCGCCACCACACCTGGTTGATTTTTGTATTTTTAGTAGAGACAGGGTTTTGCCGTGTTTGCCAGGCTGGTCTTGAACTCCTGGCCTCAAGTGATCAGCCTGCCTCGGCCTTTCAAAGTGCTGGGATTACAGGCATGAGCCACCGCACCTGGCCTAAGGTTAATTGTTTTTATAAGCAAATTATTTTGCTTTTGTGACCCAAAGCAGTACTCTCAGATACTTAGTGTAGCAATTTATTACTCAGATATATAACTTTTTACAAAGAGAATCATAGCAGAAAAGAACAAGGTAACGTGTTGTAGGGCATATGTTCTGAAGGAGCACTTGACCTTATCTTCTGACATCATGTAAAGATTTTGGCATTTAGTGTCATCATGTGCAACCATTGTTACTTTTTGCTACTGTATCATAATAATACTTAGTCGTATCAGTTTGATTAAATGCCTCCTTTGTATGGTTCCCAGCAGCATGGCTGTAGAAAGTATTCTCAAATTTATCAGGAGACCCAAGTTTTAATTCGGATTCCCTTTGTAAAAAGGCCTCCATTACTGGAGGCCAAATATAAAAACTTTTTTTTTTTTGAGACAGAGTCTCCTTCTGTCTCCTAGGCTGGAGTGCAGTGGCGCGATCTCAGTTCACTGCAACCTCCGCCTCCCAGGTTCAAGCGATTCTCCTGCCTCAGTCTCCCAAGTAGCTGGGATTACAGGCACGCATCACCATGCCTGGTTAATTTTTGGTGTTTTTAGTAGGGACAGGGTTTTGCTATGTTGGCCAAGCTGGTCTCGGACTCCTGAGCTTAGGCAATCCGCCTGCCTTGGCCTCCCAAAGTGCTGAGATTACAGGCGTGAGCCACCGTGCCTGGCCAAATATATAAAGTTTAAAAATAGCTCGCTTGTGTTCATTGCCTACCACATACTGGGTATTGTGCTAGATATTTAATATGCCAGATAGCATATGCCTCATTAGCCTATGAAGTAGAGGCTTTTATTATTATTTCCACTTACATAGATGAGAAAATTGCAGCACAGATAAATTAATTTGTCTAGCGATGGAACCAAAATCTCAGTCAGGCAGTGTGACTTCAAAGCTTGTATTGATAGAAGTTCTCCAAGTGCTTTAAATATATTAACTCATTCAGACTCACCAAGCTGTGCATTTTTAGTTTATAGAGTTGATATCAGTATTAAATAGGAATATGTATGTGTATGTATTTATATATGTATGCAGATGGTCCCTGACTTAACGATGGTTCATCTTAATGATTTTTTGACTTTATAATTATTTTTTGACTTTATAATTTTTTGACTTTATATAAACCATATTTTGGGTGCCCACACGTCTATTCTGTTTTTCACTTTCAGTACACCAGTCAACAAATTACATGAGCTATTCAACACTTTACTTTAAATAGGCTTTGTGTTAGGTGATTTTTGCCCAAATATAGGCTAATGTAAGTGTTTTGAGCATGTTTAAGGTAGGTGAGGCTAAGTAAGCTGTATTTGATAGGTTAGGCGTATTAAATGTATTTTTGACTTATGATATTTTTCAAACTATGATGGGTTTACTAGGACATAATCTCATCATCAGTTGAGGAGCATCTGTATATGTATGTGTTTAGATAGATATAATTAGATATCTATATATAATAGATTCTATGCTATGGGCATTGTAAGTTCTAAATTGCTTCAGTGGCATTATTGTACATTCTTACATAAGATTGAAGAATTTTGTGATTTTGATTAATTTATATCCTTCAAAGTGACCAGGAAGGTAGAGTTTGCATGCAGAAAATTTGCATGTATATTAATTCCATAAATAATGTTTGTAGTTAAATTTTCATTTTGTTTAAACATTTTTTACAAGATAGAGTTTACTCAGTGCTGTTATTTAGCAGCTGTGTGTATGACTTCATAATTTAGGGGGCTGTCTGTTTTGTGTTCTAAGCCACGTGGCTGCTGTGGTGACTGCTTTAGAAACTTTCAGTTCCCTTTGCTGTGAAACAGGTTTCAGTGCATCGTCCCTGTGTATAAGGTCAGGTTTCTTACATGGACTCACTCTGTTTCTGTAAATTTGTCTGAGAATTTTCAAGGCAGTGCTTTCATGGCCTCTCCTCTAATTTTGTGTGTGTGTGTTTGTGTGTGTCTGTGTGTGATGATGAAAAAGTCAAAAGCCCTAAAATTAAATCAGAGTTTAATCCATGTCCCTAAACTAGATAAGCTGCTTTAGACCTTTTCCTTATCCCTTACACGTCGCTCAGTAAATACTTGCTGATTGACTTTCAAATTCAGATTACTTTTACGCTAGCATACGGTGGGCACAAAGGGTTTTTTTGTTTATTTGTTTGTTTGAGACGGAGTCTCGCTCTGTCGCCAGGCTGGAGCGCAGTGGTGCAATCTCGGCTCACTGCAACCTCCTCTTCCTGGGTTCGAGCGATTCCTCGTGCCTTAGCCTCCCAAGTAGCTGGGACTACAGACAAGCGCCACCACGCCCAGCTGATTTTTGTATTTTTAGTAAAGACGGGGTTTCACCATGTTGGCCAGGATGCTCAAACCCCTGACCTCGCGATCCGCCCGCCTCGGCCTCCCAAAGCGCTGAGATTACAGGCGTGAGCCACCGCTCCTGGCCTGGGCACAGAGTTAAAAAAAAAATACTGGTAACAGAAAACTTGTTGGCGTGTTTCAGTTTTCAGAGTCTTCTATAAGGTCTTATACCAGCCGAGAAGCAGCAGAACCATCTGTCCGTGTACCGAGGACGGATCTCAGCAGCTCTCTGTTCAGTGGCTCCTGCCTTTGTAGTGGATTCCCTTGCTGTGCTGTAATTAAGTCAGCCGGCAGGAGTTCCTGTTTTGAGGGGGCCTCTCCCGGCTGGAGAAGTACCACTGCCTTTGTGTTACCTGCCATGTTATTGTGGAGTGGATAATTTTTTTTTCCTGCATGGGTCTTGGTTTAACAGCAGGATCCTCTGGGCTTCTTCCAAGAAGCACCACATTTCCCTGAAAATAAATGGCAGATGAATTATTTCTTGAGATTATGAAAATCTGTTAGATGAAAGCTTGCCTTTTTCTCATGTTCAAAACAATGCTAAATGCTTATAATTATACTCCCAATGAATTACTTCTTTCACTGGCTTCCTTTGCTCTGGCAAAGGTGGATTTTTTTTCCATGGCAGAGAAATTTTATAAAAAATGTAATATTTTAGAAAATGCCTAAATGTCAAGAATACAACATCTTGTTTGTTGTTGTTGTTGTTGTTTTGTTTGTTTTTTGATACGGAGTCTCGCTCTGTCGCCCAGGCTGGAGTGCAGTGGCGCAATCTCAGCTCAATGCAACCCCGCCTCCCGGGTTCAAGCAATTCGCTGCCTCAGCCTCCCGAGTAGCCTCCATTGAAGGAAGTGCCATAGTGTGGGAGGATCTTTTTATTTTCTACGCGCACCGTATTTGATTCTGTGTTTACAGGAACTGTGTCTGTAGACAAAAAGCAAAATGTTGGGGTTTAGTTTCTTCAGGTGAATAAAATGTTACTTGCATCTCCTCATTGTCACAGTGTTCGTATTACATACTTCGTGTGTGTAGTTTTGGCATTTAAGGAAACAGAGCTAAAAAAAAAACAAAGGACAATAACTGCATCAACAACATGTTATACACCAGAGGAAATGCGGCGACTTAGGTTCTGTGATGGGAAACCCGGATTTTTTTGTTGTACTTGAAATCTTCCGTAGAACGTACGTGTTTGCATGACCCAGAAAGGAAAACACATTGGAGGACTTTGTACTAGTTCCATTCTAATTCTGTAAAATTCTCACAAATTCAGGCATCTGTTAACCCTTCGAGGGCATATAAGTTCAGAGCCATGTTTTCTGTTTTGTGTCTTTCCCTTTGGCGGAGTGGTTACCTTTTCTGAGCCCTTGGCTTGCTTTCTGTGAACATAAGGCGCTCCATCTGCCGCTTTAAAGTGAAGATTTATAATTCAAACAAGACAGCGTTTCGATGTTGCACTCCTGTCTTATTAGATATCAACTTAAAGTTAAGAAAATGGAATTATTCAAGGCCTTGTTATCTAGTTTATAGCTTATTCAGAATTTATATTTCTGATTTTTTTTTGTCCTGATGACTGCCTGTGACTAATTTGTGTTTTTGTTATTAAGCTAAGATTGTATGAAAAATATGGCAAAAACAAAATTCTATATTTCTAATGCCCCATGAGAAATCTGATTTAGAGGCCCTTCCTTTGGACACACTTTTTGTTTTGTTTTGTTTTTGAGCGGAGTCTTGCTCTGTCGCCCAGGCTGGAGTGCAGTGGTGCAATCTCGGCTCACTGCACCCTCCACCTCCTGGGTTCAAGCGATTCTCCTGCCTCAGCCTCCCGAGTAGCTCGGAGTACAGGCGCCCGCCACTACGCCCAGCTAATTTTTCTATTTTTAGTAGAGGTGGGGTTTCACCATGTTGGCCAGGCTGGTCTCAAACCCCTAACCTTAAATGATCCATCCGCCTCAGCCTCCCAAAGTGCTGGGATTACAGGCGTGAGCCACCGCGCCTGGCCTGGACACCCATTTTGAATAGCACTTACCACAGATTCCCGAAGCCAGTGGTTTTCTAGCCTTTTTATTCGCCGTTCGTTGTAAGCTTCTTGAGTCTTGGTGATTCTTGTTTCATTTGTTTTTGTTTCTCCCCAGAGCCTAGCACATAGTAGGTGACGAACAAATGTTCATCGAATGTATGGGCTCAACCATAGTCTATTTTTTTCAAAAAGGTATAAATCTTATCAATGTTTTACATTTTGCTGAACAAAACAGGAGAGAGCGGATTCTTTTCAAATAGGAAAAATTAGGGAGGGAAAAGAGGGATTGACTGAAACTCTATTGAAGTATGTCAACATAAAAGTTTATTGACAGCCTGGCGTGATGGCTCAGGCCTGTAATCCCAGCACTTTAGGAGGCCAAGGTGGGCGGGTCACTAGAGGTCAGGAGTTCGAGACCAGCCTGGCCAACATGGTGAAACCCCGTCTCTATTAAAAATACAAAAATTAGCCAGGTGTGGTGGCAGGCGCCTGTACTCTGAGCTACTGGGGAGGCTGAGACAGGAGAATCGCTTGAACCTGGGAGGCAGAGGTTGCAGTGAGCTGAGATCGTGTCACCACACTTCCAGCCTGGGCAAAAGAGTGAGACTCTGTCTAAAAAAAAAAAAAAAAAAAAAAAAAACAAAAAACCCCACCTATCTATCCTATCTATCTATCTATCTATCTATCTATCTATCTATTGGTCTATCTATCTAGATAAAAATAGCAGTCAACTAATTTTTCAAATTAAAAATGCTTTATTGTTATTTATAGCATGATTGTTTTTCTATAAAAAAGGCATATTACAACAGCCTTCGCTTCACATCTGACTCTTGCAGCATTCTTATAAAGAGATCTCACACCATATTTGAGGGCTTCATTAGTTTTCTAAGCCTTAAAAAAATTTCATCATTAAGATTATTCTCTCATGAAGCACCCAAAATATAGACAGCTTTTCTTATTTTCTTTTCTTCAATTGTTGACAGTCTAATGCTGCCAGATCTTTATCTGTCAGGGACTTTTGATGTTGTTGGAGCCATCTCTTGTGGACTTTATGAAATCTTGCATGCAGCACAATTTGAAACTTCATTGTGCATTCAATTTGCATTGCCTTTGCTGTGTTCACAGTGGCACTCCATGAGGCTTAACTATGGAGATCCTGGTGCTACAAGCCGTTAAATAGTTCTCTCTTCTCAACCTATTCCCCTATCCTGCTTTTCTTTTCTTCATAGCACTTATTACCTCCTGATTATATTTTTTGTTTGCCTTTTGTCTATCACCTGTCATTCTTTTACCAGACCATCTAGTCTCATATGTCTATATAACCTTTCTGAAAAACATCCTGTGGGAAATATACCATATATACAGAAAAAGTGCACAAACATGAATATACAGTTTAACAAATAATATAAACCTGCTATTCATGTAGCCACCACCCAGATGAAGGAAATAGAATATCATAAGCACCGCACAATCTCCATTTGTGCCCTTCTCCATCGTAGCTTTCTCTGTCCCAGACAACCATTGTCCACAACTTGTTGTAATAATTTACTTAATTTTCTTTTATAGTTTTATCACACATAATTTAGTTTTTGTCTGCTTTTTGAACTTTACATGAATGGAATAATATTGCATATATTATTTAATGCTTTTTCTTTCATTTAACATTTTTTTTTGTGTGTGTGTGAGATTCTCCAGGTTGTTGTACACAGTGCTAGTTATTTCATTTTGTTATGGTATAGTATCCCATTGTATGATTGTACCACAGTTTATCCATTTTTTAGTTGATGGGTTTTGACTTGCTTTCATTGTTTGGGCTATTATGAATAGTGCTGCTCTGCACCTGTTGTACATATAGCCTGGTGAACATGTTTGCGAATTTCTATGAGCGTGATCACGGTGGTGTAGAATTGCCAATCTTCAACCTGCCTGTATTTTCCAAAGCGATCATACCAATTTATTTACCTTCCAGCAGTGTATGAGAATTCTCTATTCTCACCATCATTGGATATTGTCAGATTTTAACATTTGGCTCAACTGATGGGTGTATAATGGTATCCTATGGTACTTATAATTTGCATTATCCCTAGTTACTAATAAGCTTGAGCAATTTTTCATATTTTTATTTCGATTTCCTAATTTATGAAATGCCTGTTTAAGTCTTCAGCCATTTCAAATGTTACCTGTCTTTTCAAAATGATCTATAGGAGTTCTTTGTATAATATATATTCTGGCCCCTAGTCCTTTATTCTTTGTATGTGTTGCAAATATCTTCATCTCTGCAGTTTACTCTTTTTGTGGTGTCCTTTGATAAAATTCTCAATTTGGTGAATGTAATTGAATTTATTAATTTTTCTCTTTGTTATGTATTTTTGTGTCTTTAAGAAATTTTTCCCTATGTAGGGAAGAAGGACAAAAATTGTCTTTCATAATTAGTTCTTTAACCCTTCATAACTTTGAGTATATAAATTATTGTGACCATCTTTGAATCTACAGTAGTTGAATTGCATATATAGAGGCTTGAGTTCTTAAATTATTCTTTCCAGGGTGAATATTAGCATATCACAATAGGACAGTAGGGACAGTGGCTTTTTCGCTAATGAAATCTAAGATTTTTCCTTTTCTGCTCATGAAAAATGTTTCTGCTTAAATTGTAATGAGTGTACAAGAGGCATAAATCCACAGTGGGTACAAATGTCAAAGATTATGGTTTAAACCAGCAAAATATGTCTTCTTAGATATACGAAACATTTTGTCAAATAGCCCCTGGCATCATCTGGGCTAAATGAAGAATCACCAGGACATGTGATACAGTGAAACTATTCCACTTATAGTAACAGCACTTAGTAATTGCTTTCATTAATCCAGGCAGGTTAATATTCTATCTACTTGCATAACAATGTCAAAAAATCTATTATCTACTGAAACCTTTTATATAGCAAGTTAAGCTCCTATTTCTTTCATAAAGATTGAGATTCAAATATTAATCCAAACTACTCAGAATCACTTTCTCTTCCTCACTTTTCTGATACCCCCACTGGAGAGTGACTGATCAGTGCATTATCTGTCACCTCAGAGCTCAGAGTGCCCCTCTTTTCTATTCAAATACAAAGCCATTCATTTACTTTGATGGACAAATAGCCGTGGCATTAGTATGGGTAGGGGCAAGTGCTGTTGTCTCTTATCTAGGAAGGAGTTGGTTCTTTTCTGATGGTTGAATAATATACTTAGGTATAGAAAGAGACCTGAGTGTCTTGAAAGCAACATTCTTTCATTTTTGTCAATGTTTTAATCAGCACCCCTGTGCATATATTATCTTTGCATATTTCAGCACTTTGTATTAGACTTCTACATGTTGTGGTCTTTGCTTCTGATAAGGGACAGAATAAATAGGAAGAAAGAATAAAAAAGCCATAATGTTAAGTACATCCATTCCATGCCCATAGCCATACATCACAGAAGTCACAGGGAAGGCTCTGTGACACGAGATAATGATGTGGATGTGACAGAACATGGTAGAGGAAAAGGCCACAGACAGGTGCAGAGTAGGAAGAATGAAAGAATTCATTGTGGCTGTCAAAATCCTATGTTTGTGTTCCCAAATCCTATTTCTTTTTTCTTTTGACTTGTGATGTATTGACTGTCAATTAGTTATCAGGTACTATGTTCAGCCCAGTTATTGCACAAGAGATCCTGAAAATCTTTAAGTAGCTCCTGGACTTGGAAGAGGGAAGGAAGGAGGAGACACTAAAATAATTACAATATGTTACTATTATACATGACAATATGCAGAATGCATTTGGAACATAGCCAATAACTTTACACAGAGATAGCAGTTTTTGAGCTGAATTTTAGAGGACCAAGTTGATAGAATTTGATGATCAGATGAGGGGTTAGGGAGAGGAAGTCTTTCAGTTTATTTTAAGGCTGGAGTGAATATTATTTTTGTAAATGCAGGATTTTAAGGAAAAGGACAAAATGCCAGAAGACAGCAGATTTCTATTTTCTGTATATTTGTACATCATGACAATACATTTATAGATACACTAATTCTTGTACATAAATAATTCATATAATGTTTGTCTTTATCAGTCTGAATTGTCAGCTTTGGTCATAGGGAATTGGAACCAAGTGTTTACTGAGCATCTACTATATGTGAGGCACTATATTAGGTGCTGGGCATGCAGTGATGAGCAAAACAGGGATGGGTCCAGCTCTTATAGAACTTAGAGTTGAGTGGGAAAAACAGAATTAATCAAATTTCCATATTTATAATTAGAAATGACATATACATATGAACAAAGGCTCTCTCAGAACCCAATTATTCTTCCCTTTCACTCTTCTTCCTAATCATACTACCAGCGTTAAGTTGACAGTTATTTATCAGGCATATTTAGCAGCCAGCCTTACAGTTTTCTCTTGCACACTGTTAACAATTACTGTCACATGGTCACTGTTACATGTTAGCCAATAGTGCCTCACATTCACTGTGGCTTCCAAAGCTTGGGCTTGGGGAAGCAGGTGGATGGTGATATCATGAGCTCAGATAGAGATCATGGGAGAAGAGATTTGAGATGTTTTAAAAAAGTGTTTTGAGCAGATGAAGTTAAAGAGTTAAAGGGAACTATGGTCAAGTGGAGGTGCTGGTAGGCAGGTGGAAATATACTTCTGAATCTCAGGATGACTAATGAAAAGCAAGAAAATGAACAACAAGGGACTATTAATGTGTGTTATGCTGTGCTTATGCATTTTGTCTGGTTTCAAATCATTGTATTTAAGTAGTTCTTAAAGTCACAGGAGTGAATGAGATTAAGTAGAGGAAGAAGGAAAAGAGGTACAGATGGAGACCTAGGGAGTGCCAGGCCTCAGAGCAGACAGAGGAAGGGCACGCAGTGACAGAGCCCACGAAGTGTGGCCAGAGAGCAGTGATGAGGAGGATTACCGAGTGGCTCATGGAAACCAGCGTGGAAGCTTTCTTATTTCTTCTTCTCCTTCTGCTTCTCTTTCTCCCTTCCTCCTTTCCTCCCTCCCTCCCTCCCTCCCTCCCTTCCTTCCTTCCTTCTCCTCCTCCTTCTCCTTCCTCTTCTTCTTCCTCCTCCTCCTCTTCTTCTTCTTTCTCTTCTTCTTCCTTCTTCCTCCTTCCTCCTCCTTCTTCTTCCTTTTTCTTTTTTGAGACAGTCTTGCTCTGTCACCCAGGCTGGAATGTAGTGGTATGATCATAGCTCACTGCAGCCTCGACCTCCCCAGGCTTAGGTGATCCTCTCACCTTAGCCTCCCGAGGAGCTAAGACCATAGGTGTGAGCCACCATGCCCAGCTAATGTTTTAATTTTTGTAGACATGGGACCTCCCTATGTTGCCCAGGCTAATCTTGAACTCAAGTGATCCTCCTGCCTCAGCTTCCCAAAGTGCTGGGATTACATATATGAGCCACTGTGCCCGGCTGTGGGAAGCTTTCAAGAACAAGAGAGACCAATGTTGCCAGACAGGCCAAGTAATATTAGGACTGGAAAGCAGCTAGATTGAGAGACTCACAGGAACAAGAACAGAGAATTCTGAATTCTAAAATCCACAACGCTCATTTCACTGAAAGGTCGTTCAGGTGGCGGTGGTGGATTTTTTTCCCTTAGCCGTCATTTTGGATATTTGATTAATTATCGACCATTATATTTCCTTCTTCTTGTTAGTTACGATTTACTAAGAAGAATTTTTATGCTATTTTAAAGTTAAATGATCTGTGATTGTAAAATCATTCATTATTTACCTCAACTGCTCACTTAATTTTTTAAAAACATCTTCAAGGCTCCTTCAGAGTTTTTATGTTGATAATTTTAAAAAATCTTTTTCAAGTTTTCTAGAAACATGAATAAGTACACAATAATTTAGTTAATGTGGGCAGTAAATACACAGTTGTGATAGTGAAATGTCTTCTATGAACTAGAAAATAAGAAAATAGACACTTAAAGTTCAGAGTAGAGAAGGAAACTCAAAGAGACAGAATGGTTCCAGGGCAGCCTAACTGTACAGTACCCTTAAGAAAAGTATTCGTATCTATATCTCTACTGCAGTAGGCCAAGTGCTGTGGCACACGCCTAAAATTGTAGCACTTTGGGAGGCTGAAGTGGGAGGACTGCTTGAGCCTAGGTGTTTGAGGCCAGCCCTAGCAATATAGGGAGACCCCCCATCTCTACAAAAAATAAGAAAAATTAGTCAGATGTGGTGGTGCACACCTGTGGTCCCAGCTGCTTGGGAGGCTGAGGTGGGAGGATCACTTGAGTCTGGGAGGTTGAGGCTACAGTGAGCCGTGATGACACCATCACACTCTAGCCTGGGTGACAGAGCGAGACTCCGTCTCCAAAAAAAAAAGAATCTGAGAAGCAGATACTGGCCATATTCACTGAGGTGCTAAGCAGGGGTGGGCACCCTGCCTGGCTCTGTAGTGGTCATTTCTGACAGGCCTGTGTTGTGGAGACAGACACACTAGGTTTTCAGAGTCTGATGCAGTTACATTCGAATTAGGCAAATCTCATACTGATTCTGATTCCATGTTCCCCGCAACAGGCACCCGGTAAACTGGCTTTCTGGAGAGTCTGCCTTTGAGCAGAGAATGTGATTTTCCCACTGTCCTTCTCTGACCTCTCGGCAGTTATACAATTCTTATTGTAAAATAAAGCTCTATTCTGGTTTTGTGCATCAGTCTCCTGTGGGTTTAATTCACATGCAAGAGCGTCCTCGAGCCTGAATGAGCCTGGAATGGAATACAGTTTCCCAGCCCATGAATCATGACCTGAATCATGTCAAATTCACCAAGTTATGCTCCCTTTTAAGGTCACTTGGCAGACAGGCAGGTAGGAACTTTCCTGGTGAACCCTCCCTGTATGACCATGCAGCTTTCCACTGGGAACTTTTACAGGTTGCTGCTATTTTTATAAAAATGATAGACTGTAATGTTGCCGGGGACAGTGGCTCATGCCTGTAATCCCAGCAGTTTAGGAGGCTGAGGTGGGAGAAACACTTGAGGTCAGGAGTTTCAGACCAGCCTAGGCAACATGGTGAAACCCTGTCTCTACTAAAAATACAAAAATTAGCTGGACATGGTGGTGCACACCTGTATTCCCAGCTCCTCAGGAGGATAAGGCACGAGAATCACTTGAACCCGGGAGGTAGAGGTTACAGTGAGCCGAGATCACGTCACTGTACTCCACCCTGGGTGACGAAGTGAGGCTCTGTCTCCAAAAAAAAAAAAGAGTTCTGTAATTGTAAAAATGTGACATAGGCATTCTCTAATGTGCAATGAATAGTCATTTTTAAGCATTTCATACATTGTTCCTGTACTGCACTGGGTCTCCTTGTGCTGAACTGCATGGGATAGGCCATTTCCATACAATCTCATCCTCTGAATAAGGAACCATGATGCTCCTAAAGACATACTAAATATAGATCTTGGGTAATATTGGAGTCAGTGCTGGTCATCAATGATTTTCTCTGTGATGATAGAGGGGGTCCACTATGAATGATAGCATTAATTTTGCTGTATGTTCTTGCATCATTGGTACATAATAATTCATAGACTTCATAAGTTATTAATATACAAGTTACAGAATTTAATAATGTAACCCACCTTTGATATGTTTTCATATACATTATGGGGAAACCATATTTTTTTGAAGTCAAGAAATGTATATTGCTTCATGTTGCAAAATTTGTATGCTATGTCAAAGAAGCATTGCCAGAAAATGATCTGAAATGTAGAACAATAAAGTTACATTATAGATGTCTTAGGTGAACCAAGAGAAAAATTAGTGTCAGAGTTAAAAAGATGCAAGTCAGGAATTAAGGCAAAACATTGACCCTATCTGACTTAGGAGAATTCTGGTCATGTGATCTTAAGAAGAGAGAGTAACTGACAGTTCTGGAGACTGGGAAGTCCAAATCAAGGCATCAGCAGATTCAGTGTCTGGTGGGAGCTTGCTGTCTGCTTCACAGATGGTGCCTTCTTATGGCATCCTCACATGGTGAAAGGGAACAAACAGCCTCCCTCAAGCCTTTTTTGTAAGGGCACTAATCCCATTCATGAAGGCAGAGCACCTACTTGTAATACTATCGTATTCGTTCGTTCTCATGCTGCTAATAAAGACATACCCACGACTGGGTAATTTATTTAATGGACTTGCAGTTCCAGGTGGCTGCGGAGGCCTCACAGTCATGGCAGAAGGTGAAGGAAGACCAAAGGTACATCTTACATGGCAGCAGGCAAGAGGGTGTGTGCAGGAGAACTCCCCTTTATAAAACCATCAGATCTCATGAGACTTACTCACTATCATGAGAATGGCATGGGAAAGACCTGTCCCCATGATTCAATTACCTTCCACCGGGTCCCTCCTACAACACATGGGAATTATGGGAGCTACAATTCAAGATGAGATTTGGGTGGGGACACAGCCAAACTGTATCAACTATCATACCTCTTAATACTATCACATTGGATTTTAGGTTCCAACATACAAATTTTGGGAGGACATGAACATCTGGACAGTAGCAATGCTAGTCCATTATTCTGGTCTGTCTGAAGGTTTTATCTAGGCAGGGAAAAGCGTATGTTTTTTCCTTGACCTTGAAAATTTAGCTTGGGCTTTCTTTGTACAAACATGAAGATCCTAGGAGAAGCCCAATCAATTTTAGAGAGACAAGTGGATGAAGATAGGGATTAAAAGAATTGTGCTTGACTGAGCAGAGAGACTGATGATCTGAAAGGACACCAGGTAAAATGTTTCTTTTTAGCTTTACAAATGCACTGCTTGTTAACATCTATGAATTCATGTACTTGCTTTTCCATGCTATAGACGGGTAACTTCCAGGGCTGCTGTGTGGCACAAGTTTGGGGAGTAGGGATGGAAATGGTACCCTTAAAGTTATGCAGTGCAGACCTGCACAACCTGACACAGGGGCCTTGGGTCAGTCCATGTCGGTGAGTGTATGATACTCTGATATCTTAAAAAAAAATAACATAAGAATCTGTAGGCTCTTGTTCAAAGATATTGCAGAGACAAGAACCCCTTCCACAGGTAAAGAAGGCACGTGAGACTCATGGCAAATTCATTGACTCTTCTGTCCGAGCATTTTCTTGTCATTTTCATTATAGCCCTTCCTTGTAATCTTAACATCAATGGTACCCTGCTTCTTAGCAATTTTGATAAATCTTTGTATTTCAGCAAATACTTGAAAAAAATGTAGGATCCACTGGCTTATATCTTCTGTGTAGGCATCAAAACAGATGGTGGTGGGGTTGTTGGGAAGATGGTAGCAGACAGGGTTGCTTAAAAATATAAGACTTCCTTGATGTCCAAGAATACTGAGATTTATATGATTAGAAATTTCTATACAAAGCTGGAAACAGTGGAGCATGTTCCCACATAGAAGCACAGGTTCCCAGCTCCCCCAGAGGCCCTCATACAGAGCTGCAGCTGCCTGTGATGGAGCCTGCACAGATTCTTCCAGTAGACAGTCACTTTCCTTCTTTCTTGGCAGTCTTGTGCCCTGACAGCCCTTCTGATGGCTCTGGAGCCTCTGGCTGCCTGCCTTCCTACTCACCAGGTGCAACTTGTTAATTACTTGCATGCAATATGATCACTGGATTATGGTACAGCTTTGGCTAAATCACTTACATTTTTCATTCTTATTAATTTGGAGACATGCACGTGCCAACCCAAGTACAATAAATGGCACACTGTTTATTGCAAGCACTAAATAGATACATCGAAGGTTATGTTCTCAGGCATCCCTAGCTTATAAGTGTACATTATGTTGATTTGATATTGGGTGATGACCAAACACAGTTGGTCAAATCCTCCCTCTGGGAGTTGGAGAGACATAGAAGGAAAGGAACAGAAATGCCAGTGGTGATAACAGGGACAGCAGAAGGAAGAGGAGCAGGGACTGAAAGCCACTGAGTCAGAGTACACTGAGGCATATGAGCAATACCTGAGTGGAATCTGTGGTTGCAGGGCATCCCTACCTCTGCCTGCACATCTGCTTCTTTCTTCCCTACCCCCAGTTTCCCTTTTTCTCCTTCCCTGTGGCCATAGTGGAAGATGGAGGCTTCACAGTTCCTGAGACTAGATGTCTTCAGTTCAAGCAGTCAGCAGAGACTTGTTTTTTTGTTGTTGTTGTTTTTTGTTTTTGTTTTTTGAGACAGAGTCTCGCTGTGTCTCCCAGGCTGGAGTGTAGTGGCGCGTTCTCAGCTCACTGCAACCTCTGCCTCCCGGGTTCACGTGATTCTCCTGCCTCAGACTCCTGAGTAGCTGGGACTACAGGCACACGCTACCATGCCTGGCCAATTTTTGTATTTTTAGTAGAGATGGGGTTTCGCCATGTTGCCCAGGCTGGTCTTGAACTCCTGACCTCAGGTGATCCACCTGCCTTGGCCTCCCAAAGTGCTGGGATTACAGGCAGAGACTAGTTTTTTTTAACTTTTTTTTTTTTTTAACAGTCTTGCTCTGTCACATAGGCTGGTGTGCCATGGCATGATCATAGCTCACTTTAACCTTGAACTCCTGGGCTCAAGTGATCCTCCCGTCTTAGCCTCCCAAGTACCTAGGGCTACAGGTGCATGCCACCATGCTCAGCTAATTTTCTTGCCATGATGCTGAGGCTAGTCTTGAACTCCTGGCCTCAAGTGATCCTCCTGCCTCAGCTTCCCAAAGTGTTGGGATTACAGGCGTGAGCCAATGCACCTGGCTGAGGCTGGTATTTTCAAATTTCAATTCTAGCTGTCAGGGAGAGAGAAATTGATTGGCCCACCAGGGACCAGGTGTTTGCTTCTGGTCCATTCTTCTATAACCAGGGAGACATTTATATATATAAACTTGGCTGCTGAGGCCCAACCCTCAAAACATAGAGATTTGAGCAACATTAGAATAAATTCTTTTATTTATGGAATTATTTCTATAGGCATATGTCATAACCTTTTATTTTCTTTTTAAGAAATCAAGTCTACTTAATATGATAATAATATAGTCAAAGAAGTACACAGCCACGTATGGCTGGATTTGATTTCTTATCCAATAGCTGGATCTGAGAAAAGGTTGTTCAGTTACATTCCAGAAGCTTCAGTAGCAAAACTGCTCTTTTTTCCCCCAACTTTTACTTTATATTCAGAGGGTACATGTGCAGGTTTTTTACTGAGGTATATCGTGTCATGCTGAGGTTTTGGGTATGAATGGTCCCATCACCCAGACACTGAGCATAGTATACAGTAGTTTTTCAACCCTTGCTCTCCTCTCTCCCTCTCACCTCTAGGCATCCCTAGTGCCTAGTATTGCCATCTTTATGTCCATAAGTACCTGATGTGTAGCTCTCATTTGTAAGTGAGAACATACGGTATTTGTTTTTCTTTTCCTGCATTTCTTTGCTTAGAATAATGGCCTCCAGCTGCATCTATGTTGCTGCAAAGGACATGATTTTGATTTTTTATGGCTGCATAGAATTCCATGGTGTTTATATACCACATTTTCTTTATCCAAGCCACTGTTGATGGGAACCTAAATTGATTCTGTGTCTTTGCTATTGTGAATAGTGCTGCGATAAACATGTGAGTGCCCTTGTCTTTTTGGTATTAATAGAGTGGTTTGTTTTCTTACGGATATATACCTGAAACTATTCTTGTTAAGTGAGTCAACAAGGCCCACCTGGCAGAAGAGGAAACCCAAGAACATTAAATCAGTTAAGATGGAGGCCAAGGCGGGTGGATCACTGGAGCTCACGAATTCAAGACCAGCTTGGGCAACATGGCGAAAGTTCATCTCTACAAAAAATACAAAACTAGCCAGGCATGATGGCGTGCACCTGTAGTCACAGCTACTCAGGAGGCTGAGGTGGGAGGCTGGCTTGGGTCTGGGAGGCAGAGGTTGCAGTGAGCCAAGATTGTGCCTCTGCACTCCAGCCTGGGTGATAGAGCCAGACTTTGTATATATATGTGTGTGTACATATATATATATGTGTGTGTGTGTGTGTATATATGTAATACATATATATTACATATCTAATATATATAATATATATGTAATAAACATCATGTATATATGATGTTTATTAGCCCTCCAATGCTTGAAATCAGGGGTTGGAATCAAGGCTAACCAACTCTGGTCTGGTCACCATCACTGAATGCTTGCGGTAGCCATGTGAACATTGTTTATTGTCGTATACTCCTGGGAGAGTCCCAGGGATGAGCTTTTATAAAGTTGCAGACGGGAAAGGGACTCTCACTTTGGAGAGAATTAAGCATGTCACCCAGTTGCCTAACAAGTTATTGCTGTGCAGGCAAAAAACAGACAAAAGACTCACCCAACTCTAAGATTTTTTTGATGGACTTCTCTAAGTTCATTATGATAAAGTTAATATTATGATTTTTCCAGTTCTCAATATTTTGGGTCTAACCCTTTTTTTATTACTTTATGTATATGTTCTGGGCTCCGTAGACTCTCTGGAGTGACAAGAAAATCTTGAAAAATAAAAGGCGAGGTCTATTGGAGAGCTGTTCGTGGATGATTCTGATACGTGCTCTTGGTTAAGAATCACTGCTCTGGTTTTCTTCCCAGTGCCTCTTACCCACCACTGTTAGATCAGTTCTTTAAACACCACTTAAACTCCCACTTTTGTCAGCAACCTCCTCTTGACAGTCAAGCTCCTTAGTCTGGCATGTAGCACTCACCATTACTTGGTGTGAGTCCTGAATTCTGAGCAGCCAGTGTCTCCTTATCTGTCACATTCGTACTCATTTTTATGACTTTGCAGGTCTTGCTGAAAATTCTTCCTTAACTTGCCTTGAGAACCACCTTTTCCACCAAGCATTCCCAATGAATGTAGCTCGTGGTGTTCTTTCCTTCCAAATTCCTGTTCTCTTATCTCTACTGCTTATAACCCAATACTTGACTATATATTGTCTTGTATAAATGAAGTCTTTTCTATCAAAGTAGATGTTCATTTTCTTAGGAGGAGGAATGTCTTTGGTATCCTGTACAAAATCTAGCATAGCCTGGTACTCAAAGTCACCTTAATCATACACTAAATGGTATCTTTATTGATGGGTTGTCGATAAACCTCCTGCTTTATCCTGTATCCAATTAAAATGATCCCTCGTCAGTTTTTCCTCTGATTCAAACATTTTACCCCACATTGTTTCTGCAATTAGACAGAAAAATAAGCATCTGTGAAGTCAACCTTTTTGCTTTTTTTACTCTGAAGTGCTGCTTTTTTTTTTCAGTAAGTTGTGGTTTTAAAAAAATCCAGTTATTTGAATGACATTTATTATTTTTGCAGTTAATAAATGTATTTTAAGTTTTTAAATCCACAGTGTAGATAAGGCCCTAGAAGCAAGTGTAGACTTCGTCCACAGCTGTACTCCATCGGCCACTGACAGTCTTATTGCATTATTTCAACGGCACAAGCAATCATTTACACTTGTTATTACCCAGGGGCATTTCAAACTGTTACTGAAATGCATCCATCCCTGGAGTAACCATCTGTGAATGGTAATGCCATAAGGTAGAGAGACTAAATCTAATTGATATGCAAAAAGGAGAATTTCAGCTGTCCAGCTATGGAGATTCAAATTGAACCTTTAATAGGCTGAGGATTTCAGCTAAATTTTTAAAATCATGATATCTAGTTCAGGCACTCATCTTTTAGGTTTCTCACAGATTAAAGTACAGCCGTCTTCCTTGAAGTAAGAACATCTCAAAGTCAAAAATACTTGTTTATTGTAAAACAAAATGCTACAGAGAAAGGAAAGTTCTTGTAAAATACAAAGAGATCGCTTTTGTTGCTATATAATAGCAAAGCAGCTGCACCTTTCCTTGGTTTTTACACTTGTTTGTGCCTCAAATTGCCTGAAAGAAAAAAAGGGAAAATAAGAAAATGCTTTCAGATTTCAGTTGCATTAAAACATAAAAAAAATTGGGAGCAACATTTGTTAAGATATTAAGATATAGTCATTTACATTAAGTGGTTTTATAAAAGTGATTTATAATCTTTTAAAGTTATCTCCCCCTTTCTTATGACACGTAACCCTAAAAGAGCCATTTAAATTAGCTGTCAGGCAAGATGTACCAGGCCTTTCCAGTGATCCCAGCCCACCTGGACATATCTAGCAATTCTGCAGACCAGCACATACTTCTGGAAAGATGTTGCATGGTGATTTATAGATCTGTGTGGACACATAACACCTTTACAATGGAGTGAGGTCTTGAAATAGCCCTGCTGTTGCTGCCCATTGAGAGATAAGTATTCTCCTGAGGTATTCCCCAACAGCTGGAAATGAAGTAGCAGCTCTTGTCAGTCTGTGACAGGAGTGGATTATCAGACATTTGTAAAGAGACAACAGCAGAATCAGGCCTTTTTGCAATAAAATTGCACACATAGATATTATTGCTCCTCCAGCGTTTCATATGCAGTGTCAAGGCACGCTACAGTTCAGGCAGCAGGCAAGCAGCTCTGTTTGAATGGTGGGACAAACATACCTCTGTGTGTGAGGTGCCTGCACTTGCCCTGCTTTGTCAGGGAGGACACAATGCCACTTTCTCTGCTCCTCAGCATAGCTCAATTCCAGCTCCCGGGATGAATTAATAAAGAGATATAGCCGAGGGCAGTCTTAGTTGGGGCTCAGGTTACCAGCTGTCACATTACTGAAATCTCAGGATATGCTTACAGTAATTGAAGGAAAGCACATTAGGGTTATATTGACTCAGAATGAGGCACTCTCTGGGAGATCACCGTGAACAGCATTTTGGGAGCAACCTAGATCATTTCCCCTAAAATTCTGACATTTGCTTTTTGGTCTTCTGGGCTCCAGGTACTTATTACTCTTTCCTGAAGAGCTGTTAACTGGCTGTCAAGTTTACATTTTGAAATAGTGCCATGATGGCATCCCTATGCTTGGTATTATTTACCCCACGGAGGAGATGTGTGTATTGCAGAACACTCATGTTTAGATCAGCCAAGAGAACTGCTTGGAACAATCCTAGAAGCAGGCAAAGCTGCATTTTATGTTCTTCATATATTATTTGAAAATTACTAGTGGTCAAGAAACATTCCAACTGTTTGAATTCTCCTCTCCAAACAGGAAAATTCTGTAAAATTGTTTTTCATATATATATGTATAACACACATACATTTTATAACACATACATACACATATAAGCATATACTAAATGAGTTAGTAAATATACAACACTTTGAACTGTTGCCTGGGATATAATTACTGGCATAATTACATGTGCTCGTTATTATTTTTCTAAATCAAAGGTCTGGTTTTCATAGGCTTAAAAAATAATAAAATTGGATGTTAATGGTACAAGTTTTGAAAATATTTGATATTGATTCAGGAGATGAAACTGTCTAGAAATTACTCTTGTCTATTATAATTAAGTCCAGAGTCTTATTTTCAGAGATAAGTACTTGATCCCTACTTTTGTGTGTCAATTTGAATTTAATTTTTTAATGCATGTCTTTTAATACTACCCTTTATTATAGATGCAGACGTTAATGAAGAATCCAGTCCCATTTGTACAAATGCCAAGGAGTTTACCCTCTATTGAAGGGATGAAATGTTGGTAGAGCAAATGCAGGTGTATTATTATGATTACTTTTGGATACTTTGTATTAACAAATTTTCAGACACATTCCTAAAGATTCTGGGGGGCTGGAGCAAGCAGGCAAACAGAGGTCCACATACTCTATGTGTAAATACTAAAAGTGATCAATCAAGGGTGCTCTCCACCCTTTCTGCTTCTTCTGGAAGCTACCAAGATTCCTGGGTGCCCAAGGATACCTGTTGGGTGGTTGCAGGGGCCACCTAACCCCAAATTTCCTTGCCACCATTCCCTTCATCCTCTCAGCATGACAGCTGGTTTCCTACTTTTCCTCTTCTTCCCCCTTTTTTCTGTCTTTGGCCAAAGCTTAGTGAATTTTACCTTAGAGATTTTACTTTTAACCTATTCCCATATTTTAAATGTTTCCACGTATTCACTGCAGTGTGCTGATGGTTGGAGGTGGTAATACAGTTTCTTGGTTAAGGTGTGGTCTTTGGAATTTGACTGCCTGTTTAGGTCCTGGCTCCCCACTATTAGCTGTGAGACCCTGGGCAAATTACTTAACTTTTCTGTGGCTCAGGTTCCAGATGTAAAATGAAATTTTTAAAAAAGCAACACCTTTAAGTTTTCTTAAGAATTAAATGAGGCTGGGCTCAGTGGCTCACACCTGTAATCCCAGCACTTTGGGAGGCTTACACAGGACGATAATTTGAGCCTAGGGGTTTTTTTTTTCTTTTTTTTTTTTTTTTGAGATGGAGTTTCACTCTTGTTGCCCAGGCTGGAGTGCAGTGGTGCAATCTCAGCTCGCTGCAACCTCCGCCTCCCGGGTTCAAGCGATTCTCCTGCCTCAGCCTCCTGAGTAGCTGGGATTACAGGCGCCCACCCCCATGCCCGGCTGATTTTTGTACTTTTTAAGTAGAGACAGGGTTTTGCCATGTTGGCCAGGCTGGTCTTGAACTTCTGACCTCCAGTGATCTGCCCACCTTGGCCTCCCAAAGTGCTGGGATTACAGGCGTGAGCCACCGTGCCTGGCCCAAGCCCAGGAATTGAGATCAGCCTGGGCGACACGGTGAGACCCTGCCTGTATAAAAAAGAAAAATTTAAAAATTTAAAATAAAAAAAAATTAAGTGAGTTAATATGTGGAAAGAATACCTCTGGTATATAGGAAACACTCAACAAATATTAGCTATTCTTTTTCTTGGAACTCTGAAGGTGGCAGACTTGCTCCCTCTTCCTGTGTGGAGAGAAGCCCATGTACTTTATTTGTGGACAGTCATCTGTGATTCTCATGAATGGCTTTGCTTCCTTCTCATGTGGCTTTCACACTTATGCAGAGCTTTGTTAGAACCTCTGCTGCATCCTGCAGTGTGAAATTTACATTCCCACCTCTCCATCTCCATTGGTTTGTGAGCCCTTCAAAGGCAAAAATTGTGTTCTTTGGTTTTGTTTTCCTAGGGCCTTGCACAGCACTTGCCACTCTTGATTAAGCATGCTTAAGAAATGCTTGTTGAGTGAGTGCGTGAAAGGGGGGCCAATAACTTGTATGGTTATTTGTACGCCATCAAACTTTTTTTTTTGAGATGGAGTCTCGCTCTGTCGCCCAGGCTGGAATGCAGTGGCACAATCTCAGCGCACTGCAACCTCCGCTTCCCGGGTTCAGGCAATACTCTTGCCTCAGCCTCCCGAGTAGCTGGAATTACAGTCGCGCACCACCATGCCCAGCTAATTTTTGTATTTTTAATAGAGACGGGGTTTCATCACGTTGGCTAGGCTGGTCTCGAACTTCTGACCTCATGTGATCCACCCACCTTGGCCTCCCAAAGTGCTGATTTACAGGCGTGAGCCACCGCACCTGGCTCATCAAACGTTTGATTTATCGGTTTCCTAGCATATAAACTAGCTGCGAAGATGTGTATTTTTTTGAGAAGCCATGTGGAGAGAGTAGGGGACACAGAATCTGCTCTTCAGGCATGCTGACAGCAAAAAGTGACTACTAGTAGGCCATGAGGGATGGAAGAGAGAAATACTATAAAAAGCATAGTTGTCTGGGGCTATTTAAGGAAGACACAATAACACACTGCACATCCCAGGACCCCTTTCAGGCATCACTATAATAGCATGGTGTAAGAACTGTGTCCTCTCAGTCCTGTTCAGCTTCAGCCACTACTATCCTTTGTCTATTAATACAGCACCAACCACTTGGTCCCAAAGGAACGTTCTGGCGAGAAATGTGCAGAGAGAATCAGTTCGCCAGCAGGTGCGATTCTGGAATTGTTTGGCTGCCAGAGACCCGGTATTTGGTGTGTCCGTCATTACTGGGTGTTTGTGTCCCCAAGCCAGAGTCATCATGTTGACCATCCTCCTGAACTGGGGCTCTGGTTGGATTCCCACCTGTTTACCTGGTGCCTTAACGTTCTTCTCCACTTATCTTGCCATACCCTTCCTGGAGAGGAAAGAAGACAATTAATTTCTACCTGTAGTTTGGGTTCTCCTTCAAGAGAAATTACAAAACTGCCTGCCTTGGACCCAGAGCTTTCCTTCTTTAGGATGGTTTGGGCCTGACAGCCTGAGGTTTGAATCTGGTCTCCACCATTTCCTAGTTCATATTCACTCTCAGCAAATATTTAACTCTCTAAGCCTCAAATTTCTCACCCACAAAATAGGGATAATAATATCCTGTTGTTGTGCCCTTAGATGACGCATATGGCATCTAACACATACTTAGCATGTGGTTTAGTCTGGCACATACTTAGTATTCAGCAAATGGTAGCTGCTACCCCTCCCACGGCCATGTCCCAGCTACTGGAATAGCTCACTCTGGATATTGTTCACTTCTGGAACCAAGCCCACCTTTGCCAGGCAGCCTCGGCTAATCCCTTAGAGATGTCCCCACAGCAAGGGAATCTCTGCTAGCATGCCTTCCATGGCCTGTTTTGACAAGATGTTTATAATTCTCCAGGTTGTTAAGAAAAGGTTTTATCTTTAAAATGTAAAGCCATCGTTAGCTAAGCTAGCTTAAAAATTCTATTGTATACTTTAGAAATATTTCCACAAATATGGCTAAAATAAATGTAACCACTCTTGGAGAGGCAATGTTCATTTATCTTGAAATGGAAGTGCCTCACTTTTTTTTTTTTAATGGAGCCTCAATACAGTCTGAAAACCAGGTGGAAAGTGTTTTTCAGTATCAAGTGTGGTAAATAAGAGCTAACTGATTCAAATTACTTTTATTCCTTATCATCTGATATGAAAATCTGAATCATCTTGAAATACAGTGGTGCCCCTTAAAATTGCTTTTCTGTCTTATATTCATTCATTCATGCAGCAATTTAGGGTTTATTATATACAAGGTAGTAAGGTGGGTAGATATTCCTGTTTGTGACTGTTGAAACATTTTTTATTAAGTTTCAGGTATCATACACACATACACAGATACACACATGTGTGTTTTGTTTTTTCCCCTCTTATTAAAACTTAACACATGAAGGTAGATAATATTTCAATTGTACTTAAGCACTATCTAAATTTGCTTTATGTGCAGCAAGACTATGATATAACCTTGTAAATATCTAACTTCATTAAAAACACACATTTATACAGAATAGGTTAACTCTGTGGCTCTCTGAGCAATATCTTAACCTTTAGTCTGGAAGCCTTAATGACACACTAATATCTAATATTGCCTATAACTTCTTCAGATCCGGAAAGAAAAGTGATATAAATGTCATTATGTCTTGAGACTCACCTAAATGCAATCTTTAACATGACTTACTGAGCCCCCAACATGGTAAAAGATCTTAGCCTGAAAACACTCCTTGTCAAATCATTGCCCATCATAGTGCTGAGTAGTAATCTCTCCAGGCTGAAAGATGGCATGCCGTATAACAAATGAAAGGGAGCTGACACTAGAAAGAACATTAGTGAAATCAATATGATTCAACCAGAGACACAGACTCCGTTAATGGTATGTCAATATGACCAATTATTTCCACAGCACTGACATCATGATTGTATTTTTTTCTTCATCTTTAGGAGAGAACAGTTTTACTTAACCGTAATTGTTGAATTATAGCCATTGGCCGAGAAAGTCTTGGATGTTTTACATTGTTATCGTTACCAGTTTCAATTTGTCTTTATTTGATATCTAAACTCCTGATCATAACTTACCATAGTTTGAAGGTTAAGATCAATAAAGTGGACCAAACATTCAGTGAATTGTGAATTCTAGAAATGCCTGATGGTATCCACTGCCCAGGGAATAAGATGTAATGGAAGCAGGCAGAACTTGAAGAGCAATCAGAGATTGTAAATATAATCAGAATTGAATTCATATAGTTATTTTGTTAATTTCTGCTTCCTCAACTAGACTGTAAGCTTCTTAAGTGCAGGGAAGTATATATTTTACTTGTCATTGTATTTGTCATTCTATGCCATGTCTATCACCTGGCATAGAAGGCACTGGATGAATATTTTTTGAATAATTTTCTAACTTTTCATGAATTTTTGTTCAATTTTCTCATATTGGGAAGCTGCCAGTTTTAGAGTTATACCAACACTGCCATAATAAAAAAAAGCTGTCAAGATCAGGAAACTGCAGATACTTTCGCAGGTTCCAGAACCAGCAAAGGAATGCCCCTTACCATACCCGTCAGCACCCATGAAGTAAGGGAATGGACACTGCAACTTCTGGTAGCACCATCACAGAGAAGGGAAGTGCCTTCGTGAGCAGGCTTGATGGCAGCAACAGCCATCCCTCGGTCTCACATCCCCCTTTGTAATCCCACAGGCATGTGTCTGATTGGTGGATTCTAAACCACCCTCAGAAATGTAGCTGCAAAGGAGTATGAAATGTGCAGGTTTTAATATTCCAGCCTCTGCTGGAAAGAAGGCTTACAGAAAGAAGTTGGAATGGATGTTGAGTGCCAATCTACTGTATCTATTCTACTTCCTTAAAGCTTACATTCCATTAACAGTCTTTGGAAGAATGTAATATAGGCGAAGATTTTTCAGTGCCAAAAAATAACTGACATGGATAAATGACATGAGGCAGTGATTAAGTATGGGCTCCAGAGTGATGCTGTCTGAAGTCAAATCCTCTTCCACCTCTATGGGAATCCATTTCCATATCTATAAAATGGGTATCATCTTTCTTCAAAATATGGCTTTGAGGAATAAATAAGAAAAACAGTACGATATGCCTAGCAGAGTGCCTGGCTAATGGTAATTCATCAATAGAGGTTAGCTATTATACTTCCAATCCTTATTCTTCAAATTTTTGTTTTCCTGGCAGGAAACGGAGATTCTTTAATTAAAAATTAAAATTTGAGGTTGGGTATGGTGGCTCATGCCTGTAAACCCAGCATTTTGGCAGACCGAGGCAGGAGGATCGCTTGAATTCAGGAGTTTGAGACCAGCCTGGGCAACATAGCAAGACCTTGCTCTGCTAAAAACAAACAAAAAAATTAGCCAGGCGTAGTGATATGTGCCTGTGGTCCCAGCTACTCAGGAGGCTGAGGCAGGAGGATTGCTTGAGTTTGGGAGGTGGAGGCTGCAGTGAGCTATGATTGTGCCATTGCACTCCAGACTGGGAGACAAAGTGAGACTCTGTCTTAAAAAAATAAAAAATAAAAAATTTGATATTTTATAATTTTAAATTATGGTTTTAACATATTTAGTTGAAAAGGACTCTTCCAAAGCCTCATGAATATCTCTTACACATGTTAAATGATAACGCAGGGGTCTTGAGTTCTGAGGATTGTTCCAGTATTTCTACTTGCTTTTTATTAGCTCCACACCTAAGCAACCCCAAATTGAGAACGATTTTCATTATAATAGATTTTCATATAACATTTTATTATTTAATTCTTCCTGCCTTCTTTTCATTAATTTATGCAGCATTTGAGGGTTTATTATGTACTAGGGTACTGAGGTGGATAGGTACTTCTGTTTTATTTGAATGATATAAATTCTTATTTCTTTAATAATATTTTTATTATAAGACTAATACATGTTTATTGTGGAGAATTTGACAATAAACAAGTGTATAGAGAATAACATTAAATCACCTATAATCCCACTCTACAGGGCTGTTGGTAGCAAAGTGATATTTTCCTCTAGTGTTTTTCTTGCATATCCTTACTTTTTAGGAAGACATTATGTATTCAGTTTGGTATCCTGCTTGTTCACTCAAGACTGTATTATGAGCATGTTTCTGTGCCATTAAATATTCTTGGAAAACATTTTAATGGCTTGATAGTCTTTTATTATATGAAATATAAAAATATAAAAATTGCTGTTTCCCGTTTTCCAGTATTGTAGTCATGTCTTTGGAACATAGATTCTGGTGCTCACCAAATATTCCATGTGGCCCTTTCTATTTCCTGCCTTCCTGTTTTGTTGAGTTAGAATCATGAGACTGATATGAGTCAGTGGCCCATGAACAGAATCCACTAGTACCACTCACAGGCCAATGGTCAGAACCCAAGACCCCTGCGTTATCATTTCACATGTGTAAGAGATGTTCATGAAGCTTTGGACTAGTCTTTTTCAACTAAATATGCTAAAGCCAAAATTAAAAACTATCAAATTTCAAAATTTTTTTTTTATTTTCTGTTTTTTAAGACAGAGTCTCACTTTGTCTTCCAGGCTGGAGTGCAGCAGCACAATCATAGCTCACTGCAGCCTCCATCTCCCGTGTGTTTCCTTTCTTCCCTTCTTCTCTTAGTGAAACGAACTTAGAAGTGGCATATGGCGAATGTCACAGCTATAAGTTGGAGGAGGAACTACCAGTCTACTTTCAACTTTACCTAGACTGATGTTGAGTCAAATCATTGAGACTTACAGATTTGTCTATTATAGCAGCTTGTGTTAATTATCCTGATAATGTATAGAATGTATCTTGTTTACCAATGGTATTGATTTATTGTTATATTTTTTAAGGAATCTTTGCAGTTTTAATGGCCATGCTATTATGCCCCAATTCTCATTAGCGCACTTAAAAATCAGTTCTTTCCACCCTGTAAACTGAAAATAAATCAGAATATATGGTTCAAAAGTGAAAGACTAAAGAAAGTTTACTACCACGCAATCCTATCTTTGTCTCTTTCTCTTTTTTATTGGCGTCAAACTACTCAGTATTTTAGACTGCAAAATTTCCACTGCATGGAGGAAAGTAAATGGATTGGGATTATTTCCTGCAGGTAAATGAAACTTTATGGTATTTGTTATGGAGGCAAGTAGGGTACTTAGAGAAAGCCAAATATAACCTGTCCCTCCCTATCTTTTCCTTAGTTGTGAGGGTCAAAGGGGCACATTACAGTCTGGATTCAGAAACCCCTTTCAACAGCACGTAGATAGTTAAAGAGAAAGATTGTTCTTCAAGGGCCTCTAAGGACAAAAGTGAATCCACTAACACTCTAGGAAGCAGTGTGACTACTGGAAGAAAGACATTCAAGAGGTAAAATGGATTTTAGAAGGTCACAGGAGCCAATTGTCAGTGTTTGTACTCTTCATCAAAATTATTTTTAATGAGCTCCCTGACAACTGCGCATCCTGACAGCACGGGTGAAGTGGCTCATCTGGGGTCATGCCCGTGCCTGACACTGCCCTAATTAGCTGACACTGCTCTGCTTTGCTGAAGCACAGGGAGGTCTCTCGAGAAAGATCCAGAAGGGACCATGATAAATCGGGCAAAATATTCCTTGAGAGCCTGAGGTTCACATGAGAGCTCAGAGGAATTACAATAAAGATGGATTAGGAAAATGGAATATTAGGAGGGGAAAGACTAGAGTTACTAGAAGAGATATTTGAAAAGAGATTCCAGGATTTACTGGACAGGTTTGTTTAAAAGTATTTGAGTTGGCCGGGCGCGGTGGCTCATGCCTGTAATCCCAGCACTTTGGGAGGCCGAGGCGGGCGGATCACGAGGTCAGGAGATTGAGACCATCCTGGCTAACACGGTGAAACACCGTCTCTACTGAAAATACAAAAAAATTAGACGGGCGTGGTGGCGGGCGCTTGTAGTCCCAGCTACTCGGGATGTTGAGGCAGGAGAATGGCGCGAACCCGGGAGGCGGAGCTTGCAGTGAGCCGAGATCGAGCCACTGCACTCCAGCCTGGGCGACAGAGCGAGACTCCGTCACAAAACAAAACAAAACAAAAATTAGCTGGGCGTGGTGGTGCGTGCCTATAGTCCCAGCTACTCGGGAGGCTGAGGCAAGATAATTGCTTGAACCAGGGAGTCGGAGATTGCAGTGAGCTGAGATGCGCCACTGTACTACAGTCTGGTGACAGAGCCAGACTCTGTCTCAAAAAAAAAAAAAAAAAAGTATTTGAGTTGATGCTCTGTCAAAACTCATTTATCAAGAGGATTTGGTTTTAGGCAACGAAACCTTGCCTCAAACTCATTTCCAACTCAGCGGGTTTGAAGATGTGCAAGGATTCATCTGTTCAAAAGCAAAACATGATAAAACAATGCAGAACACCTCAAAACCATAGAGAAGTACCTGTGGAACTGTTCAGGAGTCCTAAAGGGGCTCATTCTAAGTGGAAAATTATTGTTACTCTTTCTTGAGTTGTTTCTGTGAATTACGAAAAAGGCCTATCTCAGTGAACAGACCATGTTGATCATACTATGAAGCAGAGATTGTAGAGATTTTATTAAACTGCCATACTTCTCAGTTCAGAGCTGTTTTACTCCTTCTCCCTGGGACATTTGGCAATGTCTGGAGACATTTATTTATTTATTTATTTATTTATTTATTTATTTATTTATTTTTTGGAGCCAGCGTTTCGTTCTGTCACCCAGGCTGGAGTGCAGTGGCGCAATCTCGGCTCACTGCAGCCTCTGTTTCCTGGGTTCAAGCGATTCTCCTGCCTTAGTCTCCCAAGTAGCTGGGATTACAGGCGTCTGCCACCATGCCTGGCTAATTTTTGTATTTTTAGTAAAGACGGGGTTTCACCACGTTGGTCAGGCTGGTCTCAAACTCCTGACTTCAGGTGATCCACCTGCCTCCGCCACCCAAAGTGCTGGGATTACAGGTGTGGGCCACCGCGCCAGGCTATCTGGAGACATTTTTGATTGTCACAACTGGGGGGATGCTTCTGGCATCTAGTGGGTAGAAGCTAGAGGTGCTGCTAACCATCCTACACTGCACAGGACAGCCAACAGGAAAGAATCATCCAGTCTCAAATGTCGGTAGTGCCCAGGCTGAGAAAGCTTGAGTTAAAGTAAACCTGATAACCTGTATTTAAATGAATAAAAGGGATAAGACTAGGGGAGAATAAAGCTGTCCACATTTGTAAGCCTCTACCAAGCACAGTGCCTGATGTGGGATTACAGACAGGCGCCTGTCTCAGTGAGATCATAGCATCAGTAATCCCTGTACCGTATGTAGTCCCAGATTGGAATCCTTGACCGAAGGCAAGTTCTCAACCTCTCTAAGACTCAGTTACAAAAAAGAGGGCATAATAGTGTCTCTTGCCTTATAGGTTTTGGTGAAAATTGAATAAGAAAACATCAGTAAGGATGTGGCATGGTGCCTGACAATCTTTAGATGCCCAATAAGTGGTAGCTAGTATCAACATAGAAATAAAATTGAAAAGATACACACACAATGTTTGCATTGGTTATCCTTGGGTAATGGGTTTTAACTTTGTTTCCTAGATTTTAAATTTTTCCACCATAACACGTATTGCCTTTATAATAACATAATTCACTTGTTTTAAGTCGATTCAGGAAGCTTCTGATTCTATATTATAAATTCTAAATGTTCCCTTCTATTTTCCAGAGTCAAGTTTAGATTATCTAGATCATGAAATAATCAGATATTTTCAGCTATTACCTAACTCATGAGTGTGTGGAATGCTGTGGCTTTCTGTTATTAGAATGAAATAAAAATGAAAAATAAATTGCTTATCAATATTCTGAGATAGCAAAGCAATGATGCATTTATGATAGACTGGATGATAGGATTTGTTTTTGCTGAACTTATTCATACATATTTGTGTTTTGCTTAGACTTTAAAATTGTTTCTTTTTCTATGAGCACATAGCAATAACTGGGAAGTGGCTGAGAATCATTCTTTTTTTTTTAATTTTTGAGACGGAGTCTTGCACTGTCGCCCAGGCTGGAGTGCAGTGGTGAGATCTCAGCTCACTGCAACCTCTGCCTCCTGGGTTCAAGTGATTCTCTTGCCTCAGCCTCCCAAGTAGTTAGGACTACAGGCGCATGCCACCATGCCTGGCTAATTTTTGTATTTTTGGTTGAAATGGGGCTTCACCATGTTGGTCAGGCTGGTCTCAAACTCCTGACCTCAGGTGATCTGCCCACCTTGGCCTCCCAAAGTGCTGAGATTACAGGTGTGACCTACCGCGCCTGGCCTATCATTCTTATTTGACAGGGATTTCCCTATTGCTGGGTGCTAAGTGATTGAGGGAAACCCAGAAACAGCTTTGTGTTGTGGTTAACAGCACAGATTCTGGAGCCAGGCTTCCTTGTACCAAATCTCAGCCCTACCGCTAACTAGCTTTTTGACTTCAGTGAAGTTTCTTAACTTCCTTGTGATTATTTTCCTCATCTTTGAAAAAGGAATAATGTCCTCAACAGGTAACATGAAGGTTAAAAGGAGATGGCGTGTGTGTGTGTGTGTGTGTGTGTGTGTGTATACTTGTGTATCTCATCCCTAAACAAAGCCTGGCTCATAGTAGGCCCTATATAAGTGCTTGTTACTATGATTGAAAGTTGGATATATTTTTAAATTTCTATTTTTCAATCTTTTGCAAAGAAGGAAAACACAACTTTGATAAAGGTAATTTTGGTAGACATTCTCTAACATGTAAACTGCTTGTGTAAACTGGGAAATACCAGATTGCTCTAAATTAATTAGTTCTATATTTGTTCAATTACACTGGATTGTGTTCTGTGTTTTTATTTTGTTTTGTTTCTTGTTTTCTACTCACATGGTGAGACTTGGCTTGGGTGAGTCATTTCTTTGAAGACCCTCAGTTCATACTAAGGGGCAAAAGCAGATGAGGGTCCAGGGCAAGGCATGGAAGCCAACTGCTCAGTGGTTTCAACCCGGGCTTCATGGGAAAAGGATGGGAGGGTGGGGTTGGGTGTCCTTGAGATTGAGGTGAGAACAGTTGCCTGAGAACAGGAACCAGAAAGTCCTAACAGCGGTCGATCACTGATAACATTTGTGCTGAAAACATTTCAGGCCCAAACTGTCTCAGCCATGCTGAGCAAGGCAGGAACTTGGGATGTGAACCACTCTCTTAATCGGGTCCACTGTGTATCCAAAGTTGACCCTTGAGGGCCAGGCACGGTGGCTCACTCCTGTAATCCCAGCACTCTGGGAGGCCAAGGCAGGTGGATCATCTGACGTCAGGAGTTTGAGTCCATCCTGGCCAACATGGTGAAACCCTGATAATACAAAAATTAGCCAGGTGTTTGTGGCGGGTACCTGTAATCCCAGCTACTCGGGAGGCTGAGGCAGGAGAATCGCTTGAACCCGGGAGGCGGAGGTTGCATTGAGCCGAGATCGCGCGATTGCACTCCAGCTTGGGCAACAAGAGCGAAACTTCATCTCAAACAAACAAACAAACAAACCCAAAATTGACCATTGAGAAAAACCCTTGCTTTGTGCCCATCTGTTGTGAGGAGATGGGACAGCCTTGCCCCTGCATGGAATCTGCTCAGGAGCTTTAGTTTCTGTAGTAGAAGGTGGGCTCTGTGATTAACTCTGTGGAGTTTAAGGATCTGGGTTCAGTGAGCACTCAGGCTCTGATGGGGAATTGTACCTGGAACGGTTAATTATCTCGTAAAAAGATCAATGGAAAAATTATTTTCAAGAAAAATAATAGATAAAATTTACCTACTCTGATACTTAGCACAATAAATATTTATTGAACTGTTGAATCTTTTCTAGGTATTTGAAGTTTTATTTTCAGGCTAGTGGCTTTTGAATTCTGCCACAGGAGAATTCAGTTCTCCTTCTGAGGCCTTCTGAGGAGGGGAGAGAGTGAAAGGAAGGGAAGAAGCAGCTTGGCCTGGACCCATTTTTTCCATTAATTTTTTTTTTCTTAGTAGAGACGAGCTCTCTGCTATGTTGCCCAGGCTGGTCTCAGACTCCTGGGCTCAAGCGATCCTCCCGCCTCGGCCTCTCAAAGTGTTGGGATTACAGGCGTGAGCCACTGTGCCCAGCCTGGACCCATTTTATATACTAGACTTTTCTAGAAGGTTCTCTTTGAAGAAAAGTTTTCTCTGCTAACCACACTTTGAAAAATTATTTCTGTAGGAAAATGATATATTATCCTTTGATAACCTAGGTCGCTGGACAGCTTTTGTTAAAAAGTTCTACCCATGTGGCTTTAGCTTCCAAAGATACACTTCCTTTTTTTGAGACAGAGTCTCACTGTGTTGCCCAGGCTGGTCTTGAACTCCTGGGCTCAAGTGATCCTCCTGACTTGGCCTCAGCCTCCCAAAGTGCTGGGATTACAGGCATGAGCCACTGCGCCTGGCCCCCAAGATACACTTTCACCAAACTGTGTTTCAAAGTTATGCTTTTAAATTGTATTTAAAGTTCATATAAGAACAGGCTTAGCTGTGACACTGTAGAGGCGAGAATGTGGAGTTGACACGGGTCCTTTTCACACTTGTTCCCCACACAGGGCCCACATGAAACCTGTCCCTGAGTTTAATCCTAAGAAAAACCTTGTTTCACTAGCAAATAATTCCCTTCTCTGAGAAGGCAAATTAATTATTTTATTTCCAACTTTCTCTTAGGCATCCTGAAATTCTGAGCTCAGTTTCATGCTCTGAAAAAGAAAAAATAACTGCTAGAGTCACAGAAATGGTATTGACTTTTTGGATTGGAATATTTGTTTTCTCTGTTCCTTACCTGTTTCCCCCTATTTTTCTTACTTCCTTTCCATTTTATTTTGTATGCCTCTTTGTAAGCTGCCTTAAATGCTTTTTGGAATGAGGCAGGATATACATTCAATAAATAAAATATGTCTGAGCCACTTATGAACAAAACCTTCTTGGGCCAGAGCCTAAACATTACTTATATAAAAAGACCTGATTCCTCACCTTCTACAACAATATTATTTAGTCATTTCTCTGCATTGTACTCAACTCTTTAAAGGTTATAGAATTGTAGTTAGCGTATTAGAAGGCTCATGGATCTAGATTCTATGTCCTCAGCAGGTGAAGTCTTTTTTACACAATGCCACTGTACGGATTGTAGAGTTCTTGGGCTGGCATAATTTTATGTGACCAAAATTTGGCAAAGGGTCTTATCAGTTTGAGGAGAGATTAGTGGAGCATTGAATTTCAGAGTTTGAAATGACATTAGAGATTATCTGGTCCAGTGATTCTCAACCAGGGAGACATTTGGTTATTTCCGGAGATATTTTTGGTCACAACTGAGGTGGGTGCTACTGGCTTCTAGGGATGGAGGTCAGGAAAGCTGCCAAGAACCCGACAGTGTACAGGACAGCCCCCACACCAGCATGTCACTACTGCCGAGGACGAGAAGCCCTGATCTAGCCAATCCTGTCATTTTTCAGACTCCAGGGAGTTTGTGACCTGACCTTCAAATATAAGATTTAATATTTAATTGCCCAAATTCATTCTTAAAATATAGCAAAATGATGAGAAATTTCCCTTCAAAACTGAGAACAAGACAAAGATGTCTATTATGATAGACCGTTCTTAGAAGTTTACTGCTCCTCCTGGGGATGCCTCTCAATAGAGAAATTCTACATTCCCGCCTGTTGAAAGCAGACATGGTTACTTGACTTGTTTGGGCCTATGAAATGTGAACAGAGGCGACACACGTCACGATCAGGTGGGAGACTTAGTAACACATGCCTGGTGTCCCATGCCCTTTTCCCTCTGCCAGTGTTCCAGGGCGTGGCAGGACTGCCAGCCTGGTCTTGGAGTCACAGCTGGGCCCCGAAGGCGATGCTGTGGGACCTGGAAATAAAGCTTTGCTGTTGTTTTAAAAATGGAATCACATTGTAAATTAGGATCCTGGGGAGCGTGGCACTAGGTATTCTTATGCAGAGCTAGATGGTGATGCTTTCCTTTCCTTATCACTTCAAGTCTGCAGACACAGCCTTCAGGGCGTTCTTCTTCTGTGGTTCCTCAGTTGGGGCACCTTGTCTGGAGTACACAGTAAGGCTATGCCACAGTCCTGCTATGACTGAGATGGCAATATGAGTGCTTTTCTTTGTTGGTGGTTTTTATATTTATGTTTAAAAAATTATAAACTAGGCTAGGCACAGTGGCTCACACCTATAATCTCAGCACTTTGGGAGGCCGAGGCGGATGGATCACTCTAGGTCAGGAGCTGGAGACCAGTCTGGCCAACATGGTGAAGCCCGGTCTCTACTAAAAATGTAAAAATTAGCTGGGCATGGTGGCGTGCACCTGTAGTCCCAGCTACTTGGGAGGCTGAGGCAGGAGAATTGCTTGAACCCAGGAGGCGGAGGTTGCCCTGAGCTAAGATCATGCCACTGCACTCCAGCCTGGGTAACAAAGCAAGACTTGGTCTCAAAAAATACACACACACACACACACACACACACACACACACACACACACACACACACTAAAACTGCTGACATTGAGCATTATACAGTAAGACAGATTTTCCTTCCTTGTTTCTTTGCATCAATTTTCTCTGCCTCTCCCTCCGTTCCTTTTCTGTTTGCTTCTACTCAGGACTGGGCACGAATGCACACATTGCTGTCTGGCTTGTATCTATGTGGTAAGTCTAGAATGATCAGTTACTGAAAGAAGAGGGAATCAGTGCTAGTGAAGGATATAGGTTGTGGTTAACTGGAGTTCCCAAGTAGCTGGATCTTTTGTGACAGGGATTGGCTAGTTTGGTTTTATACCAGATACTAGTTATATAGAGATGAAAAGACAAGTTTCCTTCACTCAAAGGAACCTTAGCTTAGAGTCTTGCAGGGAAATTGATTTGCAAGCAAGCTGCTTTGCTCCCTTACTCTAAACTCACACTTGAATCTCTGATCTTAACACTTTGATGGTGAAGAAAAAGCCCTCCAGAGAAAAGGTAGTAAGAGATCCAGAATCTAGAGCCTTTCCCAAGGCTTCAGGTAGATCTGGTTGAATTCACCTTGTTCTCTCTTGCCCCCTATTCTCTTATCAGTCATTCCCACAGCTTTAAGTGTTTTAAAGGAGTGGAAAGCTCCCAAGACTCAGGCCCTTATGTCACTCCTGACATGCACTTATAGGGGAGTCCAGAGTGTTTAGTCCTCCAGGGTTTTTATGAATGGTCAGTGTTACTCTCAGAAGATGCTGACCTGGGTAGGACAGGTTGTTCATCCATTCATTTGTGTGCTTACCATGTGCCAGGCACAGTTCCAGAACTGGGGATCCACTGCTAAATAAGACTGATAAGGTCTTTGCTCTTAAGGAGATTCCATGCTAGACATTAATTATATTAATCTTGACTCCAGTTTATGCCCTAAGCCAAGCTATCCTCTATTCTCTTTCGGCATTTTTCAGTTGTTAAACCAGCATCACCAGGTTGACAACATAACCCAACTAATACCAACAACATAAAGTGCCTGAGTTCACCAGCCCGCTCAGCTCCCAGCTGACTGCCCCGGAGTCCCGCCCTGTTCAGGCAGAGGCAGAGTTTTTTTTTTTGTTTTTTTTGGAGACAGCGTCTCACTCTGTCGCCAGGCTGGAGTGCAGTGGCACGATCGTGGATCACTGCAACCTCCGCCTCCAGGGTTCAAGCAATTCTCCTGCCTCAGCCTCCTGAGTAGCTGGGACTAAGGCTCACCACCACCCCTGGCTAATTTTTTTTGTTTGTTTTTAGTAGAGATGGGGTTTCACCATGTTGCCCAGGCTGGTCTCAAACTCCCGAGCTCAGGCAATCCGCCCGCCTCGGCCTCCCAAAGTGCCGGGATTACAGGCCTGAGCCACCGTGCCCGGCCCAGGCAGAGTTTTAATTGACCACCATCCCTTGTCCGACTCCTAGAAACTTTCACCTGGATTCCTTAAAGTGATGCCTTGCTGACCTGATTGGATAACTCAGTATTCATTGCTGAGTAGCTGAGGTAAGCGTGATGTTCACTTATTTCTCAGCTATCTATGAGAGCTGTAGCTTACATTGTGATCATTCTGGTAAATGTTCTCTAAGAAAGAAAACGAAAAAATAATGGCTAGAGTCATGTTCACCTAGTTTTAACATCTTTAGAGTTTTGCTTCTTCTCAGTTCAGTAGCTCAAAGAGAGAAAAAACACCCAAAGACAGCAATTCTTCACTCTAAACCCAATATTCTTCAACTTTCTAGAAATTATTAGCCACTTAATTTACTTTGATTTTCATCTCTGAAAAAGTATTCAGACTTATATATAGTTGCCAGATGTGTTCATCAAACACTTCTCTAAGAAATTTGTATATTTTTGGAATTCAGTCAACATTTTTTGGATAAATGAATGTGAACACTTTAGGAATTGCTTATTCCACAAATGATTTCTTACCAAGATTTCCAGAAACTATTTTCATATTGAAACAAAAACAAAACAACACACCACTCTGCTTCTTCCCACAGAGTTCTGAGACAGCTTTTACATAATGATCTTGAACATATTGTAATCTTGTTTATGACAGAAATGAAAAGCTGTCATCACATTTCTGTTTTGGAGAGTTCATTGTTTTCCCTGTGAATTCATAGGAGTTCTTTGTCTATTATAAATATTATCACTTTGTCTTGAAAATAGCTTTCCCTTCTGTACTCTTTCTCTGTGGGCTTTATGCATCTTTTGTCTTATAAAATGTATGATGTCTACAGAGTCAGATGTATCTGTTTTTTCCTTTTTAGCGTCTTTATTTTTTGTTTAACACAAAAACATCTGCCAGTTGGTAAGTTATAGAAATATTCTTAAATTTCTTCTAAAGTTTTAATATTGTATTTTTCAGTTAAAGTGTAATCCACTGAGCCAGGCGTGGTGACATACACCTGTAGTCCCAACCACCTGGGAGGCCGAGGTGGGAGGATTGCTTAAGCCCAGGAGTTTGAGGCTGCAGTGTACAATGTTCACACTACTGCACTCCAGCCTGGGCCACAGAGCAAGACCCTGTCTCCAAAAAAAAAAGAGAAAAAATTAATCCATTGGATTACTCTTTGTTTTCTTCTAGTTAAACATCCATTGTGTCAGCATAATCAAACTATCTTGCCCTATGAAATGAGTTGCTATCTCTTGTCTATATTCACATCTTTTCCCAGATTTTCTGTTCTATTCCCACTGATGTATTTACAGGCCAGTATCACAACCTGTGAAAGCATTGTCTTCAGTGGAAATTTTAAAATAGTAATTACTCCTTTCATTATTTTTTTCATAATTTTCTTGGTTATTTCCAGATCTTTACTTTTCAATGAACATATTTTTAAATCGCTTAAATCATTCAGATCTGAAACCTCATTGGCAGTCTAATTGGAGTGAATCTTCTGATTCACAAGCATGAAATGTATGTATTTCTGTTTATTCAAACCTTCTTTTAGTATTTTAAATATGCGTTTTGTTGTCTTTTTCATGTAGGATCTATACCTTTCCTAAATGTTTTATAGTTTCTTGTAAATAGAATTTTAAAATTCCCATTCTATCTGGTTATTGTAACTATAAGACAAAGCTATTGATTTTTTTCCTCTTTATTTTCTAGCATTTATTATTTGCAAGCATTTATTAGTTGACCTTTTGGGGTCTGTTTTCTCTTTTGAATGTGTAAGCACAAGGTAGATCATGTTTATCTTGTTTACTAGTTTATCCCCAGCATTCTGGCAGGACAAATGAATGAATGCATGAATGGATATCTGAAAAAGCGTTTGAGAGGAGATTCAACAATCTACACTACTTTCCCTTTTCTTCTTTTTACCTTGTGTTTCTAACACATACTAAGCTTTTTTTCTTTTTCTTCTGAAATGGGGTTTTGCTCTGTCACCCAGGCTGGAGTGCAGTGTCATGATCTAGGCTCACTGCAACCTCTGCCTCCTGGGTTCAAACGATTTTCCTGCCTCAGCCTCCCGAGTAGCTGGGATTACAGGTGCACGCCACCAAGCCCAGCTAATTTTTGTATTTTTAGTAGAGACGGGATTTCGCCATGTTGGCCAGGCTGCTGTCCAACTGCTGACCTCGGGTGATCCACCCACCTCGGCCTCCCCAAAGTGCTGAGACGACAGGCATGAGCCACCAATCCCAGCCCATTCTAAGCTTTTAACATCCTTAGATTACTGTTCCAAATACGTTGGGAAGGTCCCCCAATTTTTTCCTTAACTTTTTAAAAGCAACTTTATTGAAATATATTTTATATATCATAAAAATCACCTATTTCAAGATGATTTTAGTATTCAATAATTTTTAGTAGCTTTACTGAGTGATGCAACTGTAATGTAACGATAGATGTTCAGGTTTAGAACGTTTTCATCCTCCTAATAGGATCTCTCATGTCCATTTATAGTTAATCCCTGTTCGCACCTTTACCCCTATTCACAAGCAATCGTTAATTTACTTCTTGTTTCAGTGGATTTGCCTGTTCTGGACATTTCATATAAATGAGATGGTACCATATGTGAACTTTTGTGTCTGACTGCTTTCGCTTAGCATAATGTTTTCAAGGTTCATCTATGTTGTCGCCTGTGTCAGTATTCTCTTCCTCTGTTGCTGAATAATATTCCCTTGTATGCATGTACTACATTTTGTGTATCTGTTCATTAGTTTTTGGACATGTAGGTTGTTTCTACTTTTTGGTTATTATGAGTAATGCTCCAGTGAACTTCACATGTAAGTCTCTGTGTGGACATATGTTTTCATTTCTTTTCAGTAGGTACCTAGGAGCGGAATTGGTGGTTCATTTTATGTTTTTTGAGAAATTGTCAAACTATTTTCCAAAGTGGCCACACCATTTTATATTTCTAGCAGTAATGTATGAGGGTTCCTATTCCTCTTTTCTTAACATTTTTCTCACAGTTTATTGATGTATGATTGAGGTATCATTTACATTGAGGTATAACTTACATATGATAAAATGCTCAGATCTTAAGTGTACAGTTCAATTATTTTTGGACACATGTATACATGCATGTATACAACCACTGCGTCAATCAAGATACGAAACATTTGCATCATTCTAGAAAGTCCCTTGTTCCTTGCCCTCAGATTTTGATTTCTATCATTCTATCATACTGTTTTGATTTCTATCATTGTAGATTAGTGTTTATTCCAGAATTTCATACAAATCAAATCATACAGTATGTACTCCTTTGTGTTGTCTTCTTTCACTCATCGTAAGGGTTTCGAGTTTCATCAGTGTTATTGTGTTTATCTCAGTTGTTTGTTCCTTTTTATTGCTGAGAGCACTCCATTGTATGAATGTCCCACATTTTTGTTTATCCAGTTACCTGTTGATGGACATTTGAGTCATTTTTCATTTGTAGTTATTAGGAACAAAGGTACTATTAAACATTTATATACCAGTCTTTTTGTGGACATGATTTCATTTTTCTTGGGTGAATTCCCAAGAGTGTAATTGCTGGGTCATAGGGTAGTTATATGTTACTTACTGTTTTTTATCTAGTATTAAGTCACTTTACAAAATTCTTTAAGAATTACAGTTTTTTGGCCGGGCATGGTGGCTCACGCCTGTAATCCCAGCACTTTGGGAGGCTGAGGCGGGCGCATGCCTTGAGGCCAAGAGTTCAAGACCAGCCTGGCCAACATGGTGAAACCCCATCTCTACTAGAAATACAAAAATTAGCCAGGCGTGGTGGTGCGCACCTGTAATCCGAGCTACTTGGGAGGCTGAGGCATAAGAATCTCTTGAACCCGGGAGGTGGAGATTGCAGTGAGCTGAGATCACACCATGGCACTCCAGTCTGGGCAACACAGCTAGACTCAGTCTCAAAAAAAAAAAAGAATGACAGTTTCTAAAATATCGTGTCTTTGATTTTCTAAATTATTATACAATTTGCTGATAGGTATAATTTTGAGTTAGATCTTTATCTGTTGATCTGGAGGAGTTTCTGGGACTTTTTTTTTTTTTAAAGAAGCACACAAGTTGCCCAGAAATGTATATAGTATAATCCAAATTTTGTAAGACAAACAATAACATGTATGTATATGTTCGCGATTCTATAGGCAAAAGAAAAGATGTGAAAGATGTTCACTGGCATGCTAACCATGGTTTCGTGGCTGGAGTGGCGGAGGTGGTTAAGGGGAGGTGTAGAGGGTTGAGTTTACAAAAAAAGGAAACAGGGATAAAGAAAACACATTATTAAAGTTAAATGATTTAGTAGAGTATAAATATATAAATATATTTATATATTTATATAAAATATATATAAATATTTTAATATATATTTAATATATAAATATTTATAAAAATATAAATATTTATATAAAATATAAAATATTTATTGCAAAAACTTTTTAATGATAAAAATATTGGAACCAGCATAAAGATGAGCTTACCAAAGTTATTTGCAGCTGTTAAAAATAGTGATATACGTGTGTTTAGAATGTATGTTAAATTCAAATTCAGATTGCAAAGCAGTATGCATTCTATGGCCCTGACTACTTTGTGCTAATATGATTGTGATTATGGGCATTTTTGTTTACTTTTTAAAATCTTATGGGGGAAAAAAGCAGGAGTTATTTCTAGAAGTATGAATCACTGAAACACAGTAATATTCCTTAAATTATACTTTTCTTAGGATAGCTGTAATTATATAAGATTTAGTCAAATCTTTAATTAGATGGTAGGCTGATTGAGGGTAGGGATCCCTCAAGATTCTATTTGTCACCGTCAGAGCTCAGAATAATTCTGACTCATTCATAACATGAAGAGATCACCGTTGAACACAGTCCATAGGAAAGTAAGATCTCAGCATTAAAGAGATGCAGGTATGAGTGTTAAAGAAGAGCAGGCCCTGGTCAGAGTATTCTCCAATTGACGTCAATCAGTTCTCCACTTGATTGACCTGGAGAGTACTTTGACAGGGCCTGCTCTTCATTTACATAGGCTCGGTGCCTACCTTTTGCAGCTGAACAGGCTCGGCCCCAGTTCTTGCTGGGTTCTAAGCTACAGTTTCAGGGAAAAGGCAGAAAGCCAAGATAGGGCAGGAATGGGATGAAAGGGGACTGGCCTGTTGGCTAGGTCAGCAAATTTGTCTGTGATTTACAGCACTAAGCTCAGGATTTGACTTGATTAGAATTTGATTGCCTTTCATTTGATTCAAGTTGGAGCCACTGCTCCGGGCTGTTCTATCTAGTGGATGGACCATAGAAGCAGGGATCTCATGACTTAGCAATATTAAAACCTCAGGCAGGTGGCTTGTTGGTCTGAGCAGCCTCTAAATTTGTACAAAAGCCTGGTGGCTGGCTGGGTTGGTAAAAATGGCAGTTGTCCTGCATGCTGACATTGGGAGTTACTCTGCACTGCTGCAGGCTGTCCTGGCACACTGCAGGCCGGGCATCATTTCATGGTGGAGGACGTCACTCAGTTTTGCATGAGGCTCTTGCATCACATTTGTATTTAAGGAATTCACACCTTATTTTAGGGAAAACATCTGTTCCTTGGTTAAAACAGCATTGCACTTTTAACAGAGCGGCCACCTTTTTCCACATACGATAGGACAGGTTTTGGATATATGGAGTATTAACTGAAAAGAGCACTATATATTTCATAGTTCTTTAAAGACCATTGATATGTAAATCAATGTGTAAGAAGATATCGTTTAAGAGGGGTTATGGCACATGGTGGAAGGAATGCTGCTTTGCATTTATCCGTGTGAAGTAATCTGCCTGTGCATCTGAAGAAACAGCAGGCCCCGCCGCAAGTGATGAAGCAGTTCTGTGGAGAAACCCATTTACACCAGTTTCCAGATGCTATTCCACCAGAAATAATTCCAAGAATATACTTATATTTTAAATAAATGATAAAATCAATTTCCAGATGAAGTGTACATTACAAAGAGAAACTTGGTATTATTATGTATTAATCCATATTAACTAAAGTTGAACCTGACATCAAAATATTGATCCCTTCTTAAAATAGACAAAAATACTTTGAGTTAAATTGTTTTTCTTCCTATTTGTGCTAGCCGGTGCTTAAAGTCTAATGATGTGATAATTGAATAGTAAAGGAATCTAAATCTCTACTTTCTTGATTCCCAGTGTGCTAACTTTACTAAAATTGTGGGAATAAGCAAAATATTTTTCATAGCAGTAATAAGGATTTTTAAAAATTATGTGACAATTGTGTATTAGACTGAAGTAATTAATACCTTTGTCACAGGGACCGGGTGCAATGGCTCATGCCTGTTATCTTAGCACTTTGGGAGGCCGAGACAGGCAGATCACTTGAGGTCAGGAGTTTGAGACCAACCTGGCCAGCATGGTGAAGCCTCATCTTACTAAAAGTACAAAAATTAGCTGGGCATGGTGGTAGGCACCTGTAATCCCAGCTACTCAGGAGGCTGAGGCAGGAGAATTTCTTGAACCCAGGAGGCAAAGATTGCAGTGAGCCGACATTGCGCTACTGCACTCCAGCCTGGGCAACAAAGCAAGACACGCTCTCAAAAAAAAAAAAAAAAAAATTGGCATGAGACTAAAGAGGATTTAAGGTGGAGGATTTCCTCGCAGTAGGTAAAGAAGCAAAGCCCTGTTTATTCAGAGCCTGAGCTCAGACTTGAATTTCTTTTTTAGACTTTCATTTTCTCCCTTTATGAAGTGGCAAAGTCAGTTAAGTATAGATGTGGCCGTCTATGTCCCTGAGCTTCTGGGTTCAATAATCAGCTCTGCGACTCCTCTTAAAGAATCCAGAGGATTTCCTGCCTGGACCTTGAAGTCACCTCCCCGCTACATATTTCCCAGCTCTGGTTTTCCACCTCCTCAGGATGAATGTCTTCTTGAATGTCCTCTGGAAGAGTGTCAGCTGCACTTAAACTTCCATCAAAAGGGGGACTCAGAGGCCTTAAAATAGGCATCAGGTACACATTCTATTTATGATTCTGGGATTAGGCCTATTTTTTGGCATTTCCTGTGGTCAAATTTTTAATTTCTGAACTTTATCGGATTTCCAAAGATACCGTCCCTTGGCTGTCTTCATTGATTTCTTCAAAGGATTTCCTCGGCAAAGTTACCCTAGTCTTAACTGGAAGAGCATGGCTCCCTTAAAGAGTCTAAAATAAGCCTTTTCCTTTAGTGACTCCCAGCTCTGGTCTTGTCAGGTTGCATTTTTCTCCTAACCTTCTTCTTTCCTAATCCTCACTCACTAATTCAAAAATGTTATTCTGCCTTCCAGAACATCACACTTTGTAAACATTTTGTTAATAATAAAAGCTAGCATTCCTTGAATACTGGTTTTGTAAGCTAGATTATCTCATTTAACCCTGTGATGATGTTATTCATTAAGGAGCATTTGCTTTCTTAGGTCTGCAACATCAGTCACTCCTCGCCCATCTGTATCCCAGCTTTTAACAGTTTGTTACTGCTCTTTCCTATCATATTCTCTTGTGGGCACCAAATTTTTTTTTTTAATTTTATTGTATCTTTAGAGGAGTTTTAGGGGAGAGTAAAAATAAATATATTTTTCAATCCATCTTTACCCAGAAATTGAAATATTACTTTTTATAGTAGAACCAGAAATTAACTTAAGAATGTTTTTGGCATTTGGAGACATGCATACAAATACTAAAGAGGTGCTTATAAAAAAATTACACTTTTGGCCGGGCAGAGTGGCTCACACCTGTAACCCCAGCAGTTTGGGAGGCCGAGGGGGGTGGATCACTTGAGGTCAGGAGTTCGAGACCAGCCTGCCCAACGTGGTGAAACCCTGTCTCTACTAAAAATACAAAAATTAGCTGGGAGTGGTGGCATGCGCCTGTAATCCTAGCCACCGGGGAGGCTGAGGCAGGAGAATCGCTTGGACCTGGGAGGCAGAGGTTGCGGTGAGCAGAGATCACCCCACGGCACTCCAGCCTGGGCAACAGAGCGAGACTCTGTCTCAAAAAAAAAAAAATTTACTTTTTATTATAAATTTGTCATATTTAATGCCATGGTGCATTATAGTTCTGGCTACAAAATGAAACAATTTATTTTTAAACTTGATTTTTTTTCTCTAACATTTGAAATCATTAAAAGTTACTATCAGGAGCCTCTCATTTTATGCATATAAATGCAATAAAACAGCTGGTTATCTTATGCTCTATATGAAGGGTAATATTTTAAGTGCATTTTCAAATTCAGCTAAGCTAGTGATTCTATCAGAAAATATCATTTTTCACTCACTGGCTTTTGAAACATAATTAGATTTTCTGAGCAACTGTTGCTTATAATTGGAATTTGCTTATTATCATTTTAACAGAGAAAAACACTGACCTATGTAATTTTAGTGCAATTAAATTTTTCTCCTTATGCCTGTGTGTACCTCATCAATTCAGCAAAAGCAAAACCTGATCTAGAAGTCCCTGTGCAGCAGATTGCAGGGAAAGAAGCAGTCAGCTGATTTGTCTGGGCCATAAAACCGTGGTGTCTGGCAGAATTGTGATAGTAATTGCTCTAAGATGCATTCTGTTTACAAAGACTAACATTGCAGCTGCTTTTAATTAGCTGCTAGAAATGAAAAACTGTCAGGGTATGCTTGTTAGATCTACCTGAATTTATTCCATTGCAAATAAAGCAGAATTTAAAGAATATCAATGTAAAACAGGAAACTTCTCATTGTAAACCAAGTTCAGAAAGGTGGTGGTAAATATCTGAATGTATCCTTTTGGTTTTATGGGAAGCAGAAAAACCTGATTTCCTATGACACAGACCATTGCATTCTGTATTGTATTGTTTTCTTTTTTCTTTCTTTCTTTCTTTCTTTTTTTTTTTTTTTTTTTTTTGAGACACAGTCTTGCTCTGTTGCCCAGGCTGGAGTACAATGGTGCAATCTCAGCTCACTGCAACCTCCACCTCCCGGGTCCAGGCAATTCTCCTGCCTCAGCCTCCCTAGTAGCTGGGATTACAGGTGGGCGTCACCATGCCCAGGTAATTTTTGTATTTTTAGTAGAGATGGGCTTTCATCATGTTGGCCAGGCTGGTCTTGAACTCCTGACCTCAAGTGATCTGCCCACCTTGGAGTCCCAAAGTACTGGAAATATAGGCATGAGCCACCATGCCCCGCTGTTTTCTACATTTCTTTTATATGTAAATTTCTGTCCTGAGCAGATGATTCACTTCCAGAGAAAAGGATCTTTGCATTCCCTGCTGTCTGGCATTGTGCATAATAAATATATACTGGCAAATACATAATGGTAGTATTTTTATTTATAAAAGTATGAGAAATTGCTTTGAGAAAATCAAAGGGTTAGAAATAAAAGAAAATTAAAAGCATTGTTACAATTTATCATGAAATTTAGTGAGTATTACAGAGCTTTGTACACTGGGTTAGAAAATTTGTGTTTTTTTCTTTTTCTTTTCTTTTCTTTCTTTCTTTTTTTTTTTTTTTTTTTAAAGAGATAGTGTCTTGCTCTGTTGACAAGGCTGGAATGCAGTGGTGTGATCACAGATCACTGCAGCCTTGACCTAGACTCGAGCAATCCTTCCACCTCAGCCTCCAGACTAGCTGGAACTACAGGTGTGCACCAGTGCACTCAGCTCATTGTTTTATTTTTTAAATGTTTTGTAGAGACGGAGTCTTGCTTTGTTGCCCAGGCTGGTCTCAAAGTCCTGGCCTCAAGTGATCCTCCCTTCTCGGCCTCCCAAATCCTGGGATTACAGGGGTGAGCCACCACACCTGGTCTTAGGTTTCTTAATTTTATTTCTCTGTGTTTCTACAGGCTTTTAGGCCATTTTACTAATAATTACTTTTTTTTTTTTTTTTTTAGTTTTTTTGAGACAGAGTCTTGCTCTGTCACCAGGCTGGAGTGCAGTGGTGCGATCTTGGCTCATTGCAACCGCTGGTTCAAGCGATTCTCCTGCCTCAGCCTCCCTAGTAGCTGAGATTACAGGCACGCGCGCCATCACGCCCAGCTAATTTTTGTATTTTTAGTAGAGACAGGGTTTCACCATGTTGGCCAGGCTGGTCTTGAACTCCTGACCTTGTGATCTGCCCACCTCGGCCTCCCAAAGTGCTGGCATTATAGGCGTGAGCCACTGTTCCCAGCCTGCTAATAGCTTTTAAAAAGGAATATTGATTTTCATAGTTGTGTGGCAGACACAGCTGACACCACTAGCTAACTTAAGCATACTCTGAGAATGACCTTGCATGGCAGATGCACCTGACACAAAATTTAAGCATAACCTGAGGATGACCCTGTAGCCTAAGAAGAATGTGTATTCAGAGTTCCCAGCTAATAAATCCAGGAAGGCCAACTGGGAGAGTCATTCCTTATCTGTGAGTAACATCTGAACCCTCAGCCCATCCTGTGGAACACAGGCCATATAGGGGATTGAGGCCCTTTGTTTTGGGTTAGATAGAGGTTGCTAGGGGGAGGGTGCTAAGCAAGAATGCTGTATAAACTGCATGCTTTTTACAAGCAGTTGCCATTGTCTAGTCCAGCCCGTCACCACTGGACCACCCTGTATGTAAATCCTCTCAGTAAACCTTGTCTCATTTACTGGCTCCAGGTCTCTTTGAAAGCCTCTCAAACATGGCGCCATCCCTATTGCAGCCATTAGAGTCCGGCGTGGCAGTGGTCAGGACTGTTGAAGAAGGCTGAGAATTTAGGGCACTGTGAAGTGTTTAATCATTTATCAAGGTATCAATTTAGTGTCTCTCAAGGAAAAAACATATTTGTTGATTTGATTTCATGCCAACACTGATGTTTTTTGCTACTCTATGGCCTTGAATAGTCAGGCATTGACTGTAACCAAAAGGATGTATGGAAAATAATTGTTTTCTTTTTTGAGATGGAATCTTGCTCTGTCGCCAGGCTGGAGTGCAGTGGCGCGATCTTGGCTCACTGCAACCTCCACCTCTCGGGTTCAAGCGATTCTCCTGCCTCAGCCTCCCGAGTAGCTGGGATTACAGACGCATGCCACCACGCCCAGCTAATTTTTGTATCTTTATTAGAGATGGAGTTTCACCATGTTGGCCAGGCTGCTCTTGAACTCCTGACCTCGTGATCCACCCACCTCGGCCTCCCAAAGTGCTGGGATTACAGGTGTGAGCCACCGCGCCCGGCCAAAATAATTGTTTTCTATCCTTAGTGAAGAGCTAAAGAGAATTTCCTTAGAATAACAGCAAAGGAACTTAAAGTGTTCAGAAAAACAAAGTGAGGATGGTAGGAATCCTTTCGCCTGAAACTTTGGAAAAAGGTGGATGAATTACAACTAAGTCATCTTTTAGCTTTGCTTTCTTGATCTTCCTTCAAAGTTTATGATACCTAAATTCTCTCTTCAACTCATAAAATGTGTTTTATGGTTTAATAGAAAAGCTATAAGCACATGACAAAATTAGTTCTTATTAGCTATATGCCTACAGAACCAATTTTGTGGTTTTCAATATGATATGTTCAATTCCAGAAGGTGTTTTATAAATCAGTTGGTAGGAACCTGTTTTATGTGTAAGCTGTGTCCAGATGGATGTTTCTTTACCCTTTTATGTACCTGGACCAATAGTACCAGAAACCATGGGAGCATAACCACCCCACAAGAACTCCACCCCTGCCACAGCCTTCACTATTTGGCAGGGGAAGCAGAGACTCTGCCATCTTCAAGCCACTGGTAGAGCCCCTTTCACATGACCTGGGAGGTAATTTCACAAGCAAAGAAGTCTAAAGGAAAGGTTGTACCTAATTTAAATTATTGCTTTTGTCATATTCTCTACCACTCACAGGAATGTTTTATTATTAATCACAAATCATAAGCAATTTATACTCTTGATTATTTCAAAAGAGCCACATCCACTGCTATGGTTTTGAAATTATTACATTATACATTATTAGTCAGCTTAGACTAAATTATGCTGTGGTAACAAACCCCAAAATTTCAAGGGCTTACAACAATAAAGGTTTGTCTTTCATGCTGTACATTCATTGCAGGTAACTAAGACACTATTCCATGTCACTGTCATTCTGAGATATGGGCTGAAGGAACATCCTCTCCCTGAGGCTTTGCTAGTGTTTCAGTAGACAGAAAAAGAACGCAATGGGAACACACACAATGGTTCTTAAAGCTTCAGCTTCAAAGCAGCACATGTCATGGCACTCACACTTTACAAAGCAAGTCAGACGGCTGCTCTGGGGACCTGCAGTCGTGCAGGAGAGGGGCTCCCAAATCAGACAGCCACTCCTGGCATCAATGACGCAGGGATCTATAGTCCTTTTATGCTGAGGGGTGGTGAATCCACCACAGTTAACAAAATCTTGAGACTTGCCATAAACAAATTCTCATCTGTTTGTGTGATGAGGTCCAGATGATGGCCCACTTCAGTAGCAAAGACAGTGCACTGTGCTCACCACGCCATTTCATCTTTTCCCTGGGTTGATAGGAAGATGGCCTTCTCAACCCCTTTGCATCTGTGTGGGGCCAGGAGACTAAACACCGCCAGTTGATTATGAGGAGGAATGACGTGTGGCACTTCCAGACCTAGCTCACAAACGTGGCAAAATCCACTCTCCCCCAACTCCTTGAGCCTGTCTCTCCAAATTGCTGCATAGAGGCAATGTTTCCAGGAGAACCTCACCTGGCCAGAAACATCTGCCTTGAACATGGTTAGAACAAATGAAACTTTTTTGTATTAAAACACTTGAGATTCTGTGGCTCTTCGTTACTGTGTTACCCTATCCTGACCTTGCTTTGTGGTTTATTTAATGATGCACATTTACTAGAGTGGTGTACATTCAATAGTGAGGTGGCCACATACAACATACCCCTAAAACATTGCTGAAAGTACACAGCCATTTCTACTATAAAAATATAAGTATATGAGTGAAGAACTGATTTTTGAATTTTGCTTTAATTAATTTAAATTTAAGTGGTCACATGTGGGTAGTGGCCACCGTATTGGACCACAGAACCTTAAGCAGTAGGAAGCTTTTTGCTACGTGATGTATTATAAATCTTTCCACTGTCTCAGCAATCTAAACATAAAACCAACATGTCTAAATTTCACACTTTCTAGATGATGAAGAGTCATAAAATGAACAGAAAGTCTTTATATGGTGTTTCAGGGGGACAGTTGTGACATTGGAGTGCTGGTCAAAGTTCTTTATTATTTTTTATTTGTTTCCAAATATGGAGTGCAGAAAACCAAATGGTGGAATGGACATTTTTGCCAAAGTATAATTGTGGTCTTTAATGATGTAAAATAAAATACCATATTCATTTCTGAATTTTTTTCATCGTGAAGTGTGTGAGATGTGACTTGACAACTTTGCAAATGTCGTGCCTCTGCTTAAATCTCTGCATTATATTTATGGAAATGTTTGAGATCCTGGAAACCATTTAGAGGTGTTATAAAATACTTTATTTCTTGAGGTCCAAAAGACTTCAAAATAGGGGCTGAGTGATATAATGGAAAGAACACTGGATTAGGAGCCAGAATATCTGGGTTATGTTGCCTGCTCTCTCACTAACTGGCTCAGTGAATTTGGGCAGGTTATTTGAACTCTCTGGATCTCGGTTTCTTCTATGGTGAGTTTATGGGCTTAGATTAATCACCCACCTCTAAAATTCCAGGTCTTTTCTTTTTTCTGACTTTAGGTCAGGTCTTTTCTTGTGAAGTATTAAAACTGAGCCCACCCATGTCAATATAACTTAACTCTTTGTTCCACGAAATTCGTGCCCAGGAAGATAAGACAGTAAATTAATAAATAAATTCACTGTTTGCTTTAGGAAAGTCTTGCAAATCAATTTATCAGGACAAACAGTTTGCTCATCTGGGCAAACAGTTGTCTTATTAAAACAATATATTGCTCACCTGGGCAAACAGCTTGACAAGTTTGTGAAAGAATGTCACTATGCATTGTGGTTTTGAAAATGAATCTATGGGCTGGGCGCGGTGGCTCACGTCTGTAATCTCAGCACTTTGGGAGGCCGAGGCGGGCAGATCACAAGGTCAGGAGTTGGAGACCAGCCTGACCAACATGGTGAAACCCCGTCTGTACTAAAAATACAAAAATTATTCGGGCGTGGTGGCGCGCTCCTATAATCCCAGCTACTCAGGAGGCTGAGGCATGAAAATCGCTTGAACCTGGGAGGCGGAGGTTGCAGTGAGCCAAGATTGTGCCCCCGCACTCCAGCCTGGGCAACAGAGCGAGACTCCATATCAAAAAAAAGGAAAAAGAAAAAAGAAAATGATTCTATGGAAACAGCAGACACTGGGGACTCCAAAAGAAGGACAAAGATGTAAGAACTACCTATTGGGTACTATGTTTATTATTTGGGTAAGGAATTCAGCAGGAACCCAAACCTCCCACATCACACAATATATCCATCTAACAAACCTGCACATGTACCCCTGAATCTAAATTTTGTTGTTGTTGTTGTTTTTTGAGACGGAGTCTCGCTCTGTCACGCAGGCTGGAATCTACTATAAATGCATTTTTTTTTTTTTAGACGGAGTCTCGCTCTGTTGCCCAGGCTAGAGTGCAATGGCACGATCTCGGCTCACTGCAACCTCCGCCTCCCGGGTTCATGCAATTCTCCCACCTCAGCCTCCTGAATAGCTGGGATTACAGAAACCTGCCATCATGCCTGGCTAATTTTTGTATTTTTGTAGAGACGGGGTTTCACCATGTGGGCTGGGCTGGTCTTGAACTCCTGACCTCAGGTGATCCACCCACCTCGGCCTCCCAAAGTACTGGGATTACAGTCATGAGCCACTGCGCCTGGCCAACTATAAATGCAATTTTATTTACTATTTAACTGGGAGTAGAATATCTTAGTATGTAAGTCTAGGTATTTTTCCAACTAGCACAACACTTCAGATAGTTTATATATTGGTGAGATTAATTACAAGATTAGTGAGCACATCATAGACATTGAGTTAATTATGACAAGGTGAATGAACAAAACCAATTTTCTGTGTCAAACGTAGTTTACAACTTTATGTAAACATTTATCGTATACATTGTAAGAAATTCAGTTTTCTGTAAAAAAATACGTAGTCTTAAGTTTACAATTCAAAACCCATAGAGGTTCCCTGACATTACCTGCCAACATTTAAGAGCTACTTATTAGTTTGAAGAGAGACAGAGTATGTGCACATTTAAACTTAAGGCAGAAATTTGTGTCTGTTGGCCTAAGTGTTCTTTGTTCACTGGGCTCTGAAGACCATCAAATAAAAGTAATTCTTAACTTAGTGTTTTTGGCACTGAATCTTGAATTCCTTTTTTTTTTTTTGAGACAGAGTCTCACTCTATTGCCCAGGATGGAGTGCAGTGGTGCAATCTTGGCTCACTGCAACCTCCGCCTCTGGGGCTCAAGTGATTTTCCTGCCTCAGCCTCCCGAGTAGCTGGGACTACAGGCGCCCACTACCATGCCTGGCTAATTTTTGTATGTTTTTAGTAGAGACGGGGTTTCACCATGTTGGCCAGGCTGGTGCATCCTGAATTCTTAAATAACCAGTACCAAAGTTATTTTTCTTGAACCTTCTCACTAAGTATCTTTATCGCACATGAGTTCTCTCTTTAATTTTAACTAAGGCCTAATTAAAATATTTTCAAATTTATAATTTTTATTTTCTCATGAAGCCTGATAGGAAAAGCTTTGCCCTTAGGCTCATAGTTTTACCTGAGGAAATTCAACAATGGATCTGAAAGCAGCTTATTGAGGACATGCAGTTAGAACTTAAGAAGAATGTGCCTTTAAGGAGGAATAACCCTGAGAAATAGTTCCATGACATTTAAATTCTATTGCTCTGACAGAGCCATTCTGACAGGTTTTAAGTTTCAAAGTTATCAGACAATGTGCAGACAACCTCACCATCTCCTGAGCTTCACCTCACTGTTAACCAGCCTATGGTAATGTCTTTCTCTTTTTCTCCTCCTCTTCCTCCTACTCCCTATCCTTGCCCTGTCAATATTGGATATAATGGCAGGTCAGAAATGGGGTGAGGCATGAGGTGAAAACCAAAGAGAACTGTGCAGAAGGTTAAGGGTTAAATAACATCAGGCAAACCAGCCAAGTATAACTAGACATTAGAAGTTCAGCTCTAGTATAAAAGTTAAAAGACAAAAGTATTAAAAATCACTATACCTGCATAATTTGTTGATGAATACACAGTATAAAAAGGTGTAAAGTGTGACATCAACACCATAGAATGGTGGGTGGGGGATAAGTAAAAGTGTAGTAATTTTTTTTTTTTTTTTTTGAGACAGGGTCTTGCTCTGTTGCCCAGGCTGGAGTGCAGTGGTGCAATCTCGGCTCACTGCAACCTCTGCCTCCCGGGTTCAAGAGATTCTCCTGCCTCAGCCTCCCGAGTAGCTGGGACTACAGGCACGCACCACCATGCCAGGCTAATTTTTGTATTTGTAGTAGAGATGGGGTTTCACCATGTTGGCCAGGTTGGTCTCCAACTCCTGACCTCGAGTTATCTGCTCACCTCCGCCTCCCAAAGTGCTGGGATTACAGGCGTGAGCCACCGCACCTGGCAAGTGTAGAATTTTTGTATGCAATTGAAGTTGAGTTGTTACCAGTTTAAACAGAATGTTTTGTTTTATGTAAGGTCCATGGTAACCCCAAAGAACCTACCTTTAGTAGAAACACAGAAGATAAAGAAATGAATCAAAGCATACCACTACAAAAAAAAATTTAAAGTCACAAAGCAAGACTGTAAGAGAGGAAGAAAGGAACAAATGAACTGCAAAACAAAACAAAATAGTTAAGCCCTTAACTCTCAATAATTAGTTTAAATGTAAATGGATTGAATTCCCCAACCAAAGATAAACAGTGGCCAAATGGATTAAAAGAAAACCCAAGATCTAACAATATTCGTGTGTACAAGAAATTCACTTTAGACTTAAGGACATACATAGGCTGAAAGTAAAGGGATGGAAGAAAATATTCCACGCAAATAGTAATCAAAAGAGAGCAGGAGTGGCTTTATTTATATCAGACTAAATAGACTTTCAGTCAAAATCTGTCACAGAAGACAAAGAAGATCACTATATAATAATAAAGAGGTCAGTTCATCAAGAGGATATAACAATTATAAATATATGTGCACCCCACATTGAAGCATCTAAATACATAAAGCACATATTAACAGAGCTGAAGGGAAAAACAGACATCAATACAACAATAGCAGGATGCCTCAGTACCCCTTTCAACAGTGGGTAGATTATCCAGACAGAAAATCAATGAGGAAACAGTGGCCTGAATAACATTATAGACCAAGTGGACCTAACAGACATACACAGACCATCTCATCCAATAGCAGCAGAATACACGTTTTTCTCAAGGACGCTTGGAACATTCACAAGGGCTAGATTATATGTTGGGCCACAAAACAAGACTTAACAAATTTAAGAAGATTGGAATCATCTCCAGTACCTTTTCTGATCATAATAACATTAGAAATTAATAACAGGAATTATGAAAAATGGACATATGTAGACATTAAGCACACACTCCTGAACAACTACTTGGTTGAAGAAGAAATCAAAAGAGAGATTAGGAAGTATCTTGAGGCAAATGCAAATGGATACACAACATACCAAAAGTTACAGGATGCAGCAAAAGCAATTCTAAGAGGGAAGTTTAGAGGGATAAAGGCCTACATTCGGAAGAAAGATCTTAAACAACCTAATTTCACACCCCAAGGAACTAGAAAAAGAAGAACAAACTAAGCCCAAAGTCAGCAGAAGGAGACAAAGATTGGAGCAAAAAGAAGCTAAGGAGACAGTAGAAAAGATCAACAAAACTGAGATTTGTTTTTTGAAGAGAAACAAAATTGACAAATCCTTTATCTAGCTTTACCAAGAAAAAAAGAGAGAACTCAAATAAATGAAATTATAAATGAAAGAAGAGATACAGGCATACCTTGGTTTATTGCACTTTATTGTACTTTGCAGATATTGCATTTTTTACAAATTGAAGGTTTGTGGCAACCCTGCATGGAGCAAGTCTGTTGGCAACGTTTTTCCCGCATGTGCTCACTCTGTGTCTCTGTGTCCCATTTTGGTAATTCACACAATATATCAAAGTTTTTCATTATTGTATTATATATATAATATTATGTATATATAATATGTAATATATATAATACGTATATAATATATAATATATGTTATATATTATATGTTATATGCAATATATGTTATATATAATATATATTATATATAATACATATATATTATGATATTATTATATCACAATGCTGATTGTGATCAGTGATCTTTGATGTTACAATAGTAATTGCTTTGGGGTATCACAGACTGTCCCCATGTAAGAAGGTGAATTTAATCAATAGATATCATGTGGTCTCTGACTACTACAGTGTGGGCTCTGCTACTGTTCTGACTGGCCTTTCCCTCTCATTGAGCCTCCCTATTCCCTGAGACACAACAGTATTGAGATTAAACCAATTAATAACCCTATAATGGCCTCTAATTGTTCAAGTGAAAGGAAGAGTTACACATCTCTCACTTTAAATCGAAATGTAGAAATGATTAAGCTTAGTGAAGAAGGCATATTGAAAGCCCAGATAGGCCTATTGTGTCAAACAGTCAAGTTGTGAAGGCCAAGAAACGTTCTTGAAGGAAATTAAAAGTGCTATTCCAGTGAACACACAAAAGATAAAGCAGGCCAGGTGCGGTGGCTCACGCCTGTAATCCCAGCACTTTGGGAGGCCAAGGTGGGCAGATCACAAGGTCAAGAGATCGAGACCATCCTGGCTAACATGGTGAAACCCCATCTCTACTAAAAATACAAAAAAAAAGTAGCCAGGCATGGTGGCACGTGCCTGTAGTCCCAGCTACTTGGGAGGCTGAGGTGGGAGAATTGCTTGAACCCAGGAGGCGGAGGTTGCAGTGAGCTAAGATCGTGCCATTGCACTCCAGCCTGGGTGGCAGAGCGAGACTCTGTTAAATAAATAAATAAATAAATAAATAGATAGATAGATAGATAGATAGACAAATAAAGCAAAAAAACCTATTACTGATATACAGAAAGTTTGAGTCTTCTGGATAGAAGATCAAACCAACCACAACATTCCGTTAAGCCAAAGCTTAATCCAGAGCAAGGTCTTTCTTCAGTTCTATGAAGACTGAGAGAGGCAGTGCTATGGAAGGAGAGTTTGGTACTAGCAGAGACTGGTTCATGAGATTTAAGGAAAGAAGCCATTTCCATTACATAAAAGTGCAAATAAGCAGCAAATGCTGATGTAGGGGCCGCAGCAAGTCATCCAGAAGATCTAGCTAAGATTATTAGTAAAGGTGGATGATTTTGAGGGGTTCAAGACTTCAGTGGAGGAAGGAACTGCAGATGTGGTGGAAACAGCAAGAGAGCTAGAATTAGAAGTGAAGCCTGAAGATGTGACTGAATTGCTGCAATCTGAGGATAAAATGTGAATGAATGAGTACTTGTTTCTTATGGATGAACATCCTTCTTAAAGATGGAATCTACTCCTGGTGAAGATGCTGTGGATATTGTTGAAGTGACAACAAAAGATGTAGAATATTTCACAAACTTAGTTGATAACCAGTGGCAGAATTTGAGAGGATTGACTCCAATTTTGAAAAAAGTTCTACTGTGGGTAAAATGCTGCCAGACAGTATTGCCTATTACAGAGAAATCTTTCACGAAAGGAACAGTTGATCAATGCATTAAACTTGTCTTATTTTAAGAAATTGCCACAGCCACCCCAACCTTCAACAACCACCAACCTGATCAGTCAGCAGGCCTCAGTAATGAGACAAGACCTTCTACCAGCAAAAAAGATTGTGACTCACTGAAGACTTAGATGATCATTATCATTTTTTAGCAATAAAGTATTTTTAAGGTATGTACATTGTTGTTTTAGACATAATGGTATTATTGCACATTACTAGACTACAGTATAGTGTCAACATAACTTTCATATGCACTGGGAAACCAAAAAATGGATGTGACTTGTTTTATTGTGGTATTTGCTCTGTTGTGGTGGTTTGGAACTGGACCTGCAATGTATCAGAGGTATACCTGTATTATAGCTAATACCAAATAAATAGAATCATAAGAGACTACTGTGAATAATTGTATGCCTACAAATTGGATAACCTGGAAGAAATGGATCAATTCCTAGAAACATACAACCTACAAAGATTGAATCATAAAAAAACTAGAAAATATAAACGACCAAATAAGTAAGGAGATTAAATGAGTCATCAAAAACCTCCAGCAAAGAAAAACCCCAAACTAGATGGCTTCTTTGGTGAGTTCTACTATGCGTTTAAATAAGAATTAACACCAATCCTTCTCAAACTCTTCCAAGAAATTCGAGAGGAGGGAACACTTCCAAATTCATTTTATGAGGCCAGCAACACCCTCATACCAAAGCCAGATAAGGACACTACAAGAAAATTCCAGATCAGTATCACTGATGAACATAGATGCAAAAGTTCTCAACAAAATACCAGCGAACCTAATTCAACAGCACACTAAAAACATCATACACCATAATCAATGAAATGTATCTCTGAGATGCAAGGATGGTTCAAATATATGCAAATTAGTAAATGTGATATACCACATTAACAGGATGAGGGATAAAAATCACATGATCATCTCAATAGTTGCAGAAAAAGTATTTGACAATATTCAACATCCTTTCATGATTAAAAACTATTAACAAATCAGATACAGAAGGAATATACCTCAACATAATAAAGGCCATATATGACAAGCTCACAACTAACATCCTACTCAATGGTGAAAAGCTAAAAGCTTTTCCTCTAAAACCAAGAACAAGAGAAGGATGCCCACACTCACCACTTCTGTTATACATAGTACTAGAAGTCCTAGCTAGAGCAATTAGGCAAGAAAAAGAAACAAAAGACATCCAAATTAGGGAAAGCTAAATAGTCTCTGTTTGCAGATGTCATGATCTTATATATTAACCCTAAAGATTCCACAGTTAGAACTAATAAATGAATTCAGTAAAGTTGCAGGATACAAAATTAACATACAAATATTAGTTGCATTTCTGTATACTGACAACTAACCAGAAATTAAGAAAACAATCCTATTTACAATAGCATCAGAAAGAATAAAATAGGCCAGGCGTGGTGGCTCATGCCTGTAATCCCAACATTTTGGGAGGCCGAGGGGGGTGGATCACATGAGGTTGGGATTTTGAGACCAGCCTGACCAACAGGGAGAAACCCCATCTCTACTAAAAATACAAAAAATTAGCCGGGCGTGGTGGCGCATGCCTGTAATCCCAGCTACTCAGGAGGCTGAGGTAGGAGAATCGCTTGAACCGGGAGGTGGACGTTGCGGTGAGCCGAGATCATGCCATTGCACTCCCGCCTGGGCAACAAGAGCAAAACTCCATCCCAAAAAATAAAATAAAACAAAATAAAATGAAATAAAATAAAATACCTAGGAATACCAAGAAGGTGAAAGATCTGTACATTGAAAACTGTAAAATATTAATGAAAGAAATTGAAGGCTGGGGCAGAAGGATTGCGTGATTCCAGGAGTTTGAGGCTGCAGTAAGTCATGATTGTGCCACTGCACTGCAGCCTGTGTGACAGAGTGAGACCAAAAAAAAAAAAAAAAAAATTGAAGACAGAAATAAATGGAAAGGTATCCTCTGTTCAAAGAGTGGAATAGTTAATATTGTTAAAATGTCCATACTACTGAAAGCAACATACAGATTCAATGCGATGCCTATCAAAATTTTAATGGCATTTTTCACAGATATCAGAAAAACAATCCTAATATTTGTATGGAATTGCAAAAGACCCCAAGTAACCAAAGCAATCTTGAGAAAGAAGGACAAAGCTGGAGGAACCACTTCCTGGTTTCAAACTACTTCCTGGTTTCAAACTACATTACAAAGCTCTAGTAATTAAAACAGTATGGAACTGGCCTAAAAACGGCCACTAGGGTCACTGGGACAGAATAGAAAGACTAGAAATAAACCCAAACATATATGGTCATCTAATCTTTGACAAGGGTGCCAAGAATACACAATGGGGAAAAGATCATCTCTTCAATAAATAGTGTTGGAAAAACTGGATATCTATATGCAAAAGATTGAAATTGGACCCTTGATTTACAACATATACAACAATTCAAGTGAATTGAAGACTTAACTGAATGTGAGATTTGAAATCGTAAAAGTCTTGGAAGAAAACATCAGCAAAAAGCTCAACCTTGGTCTTGGCAATGATTTTTTTGGAAATGACAACAAAAGCACAGGCAACAAATGCAAAAATAATGAAATGGGACTATGTTAAACTAAAAAAACTTCTGCACAACAAAGGAAACAATCAACAAAATTAAAAGACAGCCTAAAGAATGGGACAAAATATTTGCAAGCCATATGTTTGATAAGGAGTTAATATCCAAAATATATAAGGAATTCACATAAAGGATTTCACATAACTCATTAGCAAGAAAACATAAAGCCCAATTTAAAAACGGACAAAGGACTTGAATGGACATTTTTCCAAAGAAGACATACAAATGGCTGACAGACATGTGAAAAGTTGCCCAAGATTACTAATCATGAGAGAAATGCAAGTCAAAACCACCATGAGCTATCACCTTGCACCTGTTATAATGACTTTATCAAAATGACAAGAGATAGTAAGTGTTGGCGAGGATGTGGAGAAAAGAGAATTTTTGTATATTGTTGGTGGAAATATCAATTTGTACAGGAATTATCAAAAAACAGTATGGACGTTCTTCCAAAATTTAAAAAAAGAGCTACCATATGATCCAGCCATCCCACTTCTGGGATGAAATAAAATCTGTGTCTTGAAGAGACATCTGCACCCCATGTTCATAGCAGCACTATTCACAATAGCCAAGATATGGAAACAACCTAAGTATCTGTCAGCCAATGAATGAATAAAGAAAATGTGGTGTGTATACACAATGGAATATTATTTAGCCATGAAGAAGGAAATCCTGCCATTTGCAAAAACAGAAACGAACCTGGAGGACATGATGGTAAGTAAAATAAGCCAAACACAGCAAGACAAATATTGTTTTGTCTTACTTATATGTAGAATCTAAAAAGTTGAACTCTTAGTAACAGAGTAGAATGGTGGTTGCCAGGGTCTGGGGGTGAGGGATTAGGGGAGATATTAGTCAGAGTGTACAAACTTTTAGTTTTAAGATGAATAAGTTCAGTGGATCTAATGTTCAACATGGTGAATATAGTTGACGATACTGTGTTTACTTGAAATTAGATAAGAAGATAGATTTTAAGTGTCAGCACTGCAACCACACACAGATGATAACTGGGTGGTGATGGATATGTTAGTTAATTTGATTGTGGTAGTCAGTACACACTGTGTATGTATATCAAATCATCATGTTGTACGCCTTGAATATGTACAACTTTTCTTTGTTAAATAAGTACTTTAAAATTTTACAAAAGACATTTACAAGCCACACTTACTCATCTTGGGAAAAGCTATCAGTCATTTAAAGCAAAGCATCCTTTCCTTTTCAAGATTTTACTTTTTTTTTTTTTTTGAGACAGAGTCTCAGGCTAGAGTGCAGTGGCACGATCTCAGCTCACTACAACCTCTGCCTCCCAGGTTCAAGAGATTCTTATGCCTCAGCCTCCGGAGTAGCTGGGATTACAGGCATACTTCACCATGCCCAACTGATTTTTGTATTTTTGGTAGAGGCGGGGTTTCACCATGTTGGCCAGGCTGGTCTTGAACTCCTGACCTCAGGTGATCTGCCCACCTTGGCCTCCCAAAGTGCTGGGATTACAGGCTTAAACCACTGCACCTGGCCTCAAGATTTTACTTATATTTTAAATGTCTACATCTTGAATTTCAATTCTTATTCTACCTAGAAGCTAAAAGCATTGGCAGGGTTATGAGTTGGGGTGGAAATATTTGGGCCTGTGGAAGATAAATTCATATTGTTTGAAGAAAATAATCTGCTTATAATTATCAGTTTATTATAATCAGGCCCAAAGAAGGAAACCAAAAGTCTTAATATTTTCTTAGTGATAAAGTGGAGGAAGTAACTGACAAAGTAATTTTGGCTCTTTACCAGGGATGCTTCATATAAAGGAGGGAGAACAATTTCCTTGACAACCAATTAATATGTATAGCTTAAGGCTATGACTGTATTCTGCAAGAAATAGATTACATTTCTGAGGTCTGCACATCTGAAGATATTATAAACTAGCTAGGAGATTTTTATGATGATATGATACAGATCAGCAATACGTAAGACAGAAAGGGGGTTTCACCCAGCAAGAGTTAGGATTTATAGTCCCAGTATGCCCGAGTTTTACATATTGTGAACTTTGCTAACCTTCACCTTTATCAACAAGCTGTGAGTGACTCTCCAGCACAAAGCTTTGAGTATCAAGCATGCATATAGTAAAAAAAAAAAAATTGCCAGGCACCGTGGCTCATGCCTGTAATCCCAGCATTTTGGGAGGCCAAGGCGGGTGGATCACCTGAAGTGGGGAGTTCGAGACCAGCCTGACCAATATGGAGAAACCTCGTCTCTACTAAAAATGCAAAATTAGCCGGGCGTGGTGGCTCATGCCTGTAATCCCAGCTACTCGGGTGGCTGAGGCAAGAGAATCGCTTGAACCTGGGAGGCAGAGGTTGCGGTGAGCTGAGATCGTGCCATTGTACTCCAGCCTGGGCATCAAGAGCAAAACTTCGTCTGAAAAAAGAAAAAAAAATTATACTGATGATTTGGGGGAGAGCACCAAATACCCTTAAAGTTTTTACGGCACAGACTTTTTAGTAAATCTTATGAGGGGATGATTATGGGAATAATATGCATCTATCTATATATATATATATATATATATTCCAAAAATATTGGCAAAAATAATGAAGAACCTGAAAGTCCTCCATGGTCAGAGTTAAGGTCAGGGTCAGGGATGAATGTTGCATTAGTTGGCAATAAAAAGCAGCCATTGTACAGTTTGACAGGCCTGTGTGAATATCCTGCTTTGTAGCTGAGTGTTCTTGCTTGTTAATCTGCTTCCCCTATCCCCACTCTTTTTTTTTTATTTAATCTGGTGGTTGAGAGGTGCTTCCAAGCCTACCTATTTTATTTACCACTTCCTCGTTAGTTTTTTGGGCTTCTTAAAATGGTCCTCCACTCTTATGACTTCTGGCTGTTTGTACACAAGAACTGTCCACCTCTCTCCTCCTGCCGTCAAGGGTGTTGCTAAACCTATCATCCTCAACCTGAAGCTCCTTCCACATCCTTCTTGCCAGCTCACTATCAGTCATTTCCTGAGACTGACATCACAAAAGAGTCATTAGATTTAAGCCCTGGTTTCAGCAATTACTGGACCTGTTGTGATTCTAGACAGGGTTCTTAACTTTTAATTTTCCATGACATTTTTTCCCTTGACATCCCAGTCCAAGCTGTTGACTTTTGCATTTACTGCTCATTTCTACCTTTAATATTCCATTTTCCTCTGTTAATATTATATGCTGTGAAACCCAGGAGAAGTCAGCATTACTATGGTCTTGGGTAGAACTGAGAGAGATAAAGACATGAATTTGAGGCTGTTGGGGGATGAGTTGCAGAGAGGCATAAATACGAGGCAGAAAATAAGTTATGAGTGAGAATACAACTTATTAATAGCTTTTGTAAACTTCTGGCAAAAAAAGATATTGAAGATAATTAGAGTTGAAAAATTATATAAGACATCACTTACGATTGGGATTCAATCACATTTTATAGAAAATTCAAATAAGAGTTGCTTAAGCATGAAAGAAGTTCAGAGGTAAGTAGCTCAGGGCTTGTATGGCAACTCCATGGTCACAGGGGGCCCAGGTTCCTTCTCACATTGTTTTCTCCCATCCTTGGTGCTGGCTTACATGCCAAATGTCTCCTCATGACCACAAGATGCTCCTGGTGTTCCCAGACCAAACTGAGGGTTGGGCTGCTATTTCTCGTGGCCCAATAACGAGAAGCAGATGAACTGGGGAGGAAGAGTTTTTATTTCTGCAACTGGTTATGGGGGGAAGGCCTGGAAATTATCACCAGACCAACTCAAAATTACAGTTTTCCAGAGCTTATATACCTTCTAAGCTATATGTCTACGTGTAAGTGTGCATTCATCTAAAGACATAAGTGATTAACTTCTTCTAATCTATAGCTAAGGTCTGAGTCCTGAAGACCTTCCTCTGGAGCCTCAGTAAATTTACTTAATCTAAATGGGTCCAGCTGCTGGGGTGATTACCCTTATTATGTCTCCTGCTTAAATCACGGAGGTTTGGGGAGTTCCTTCAGACCTCCAATAAACTTGTTTGTGGAGGTCTGGGGAGTTTCTTCAGACCCACAATAAAACTCGTTTAATCCTAAATGGGTCCTGTTAAGAATTCCTTTGTTATTTTGTTATGCTTTAAGGCCCAGGAAAAGCCTAGGCAAAACTCTTGGTGGGCTTTCGTTACATTCCAGCCTTTGTATAAGGGCACTGGCTTTTTTAACTTTTAATATTTAACTTAACCACTCAGTCAGTACTGAAACAGTTGTTATGGAGGCCTGCGTTAGTGAGAGCTGGCCTGCCACACTGGTGCTCCAGCTATTATGTCCACGTTCCAAGATGGAAGAAAGTATAATGGCAAAAGTACCTATCTCTCAGCTGAATCAGTTTGCTTTAAAGGGCTTCCTTGGCTTCCATCCACTTCTGCTTACACTTCCTTGAACACCTCCAGAAACCAAGGAGGTTGGGAAAGCTTTAGGCTGAGGACATTATCACTCCAAATAACATATTTTTAAGTCAGGAAGTGGGAAGAGTGGATATTGTGTAGGCAACTCACAGTCCCTTCCACCATAGCCGACCAGGACAGAGATAGCTGGATGATGGTTTGCTCTAGTTGAGCCTAAACAAGCTCATGGCTCCCTCTCCTTAAACTACTTTTATATTTTCTTTCTCTAAGTTCAGAGCAAAGCTTTCATATTATTTTATGAATGTTTCTTAACAAGCTCATCGTTTCTGGTGTTTTGCTGCAATTCTGCAGTAGATAGTATGGTATATTTGGTGGACAGATTCAGGGCCACCAGGCTTTGAATAGCAGTGGTGCTACTTAGAAGCTGAGAGGTTATGAACCTTATATGCAACCATAGGGAATAGTGTTGTTACTATAAATAATGATTGTACTGAACCTTATATGCAATAGTGAATAATGTTATTATAAATAATGATTGTACTGAACCTTATATGCAACATAGGGAATAATGTTATTATAAATAATGATTTTCAGACTGAGGCAGTTTTCTAAAAATTCAAGTGAAAGATCACATTACTTTACATGAGGACCACAAGGCACATTCAAAAGATACGGTTGATTCACTTTGTTAAACAATAAGAATATAAGTGTCCAAATACAGAACAAAGGAAATAATATGTCCAAGAAACATTTTTCTTTGCTTAATACTAAAAGCCTCTTGATCTGTTTCCTATATCCTAGTCACAACTGAATTTTAAGAAAGTCGAGGTCATGTTGGTAACTCCATGTCAATACTGCTTTGTGTACTAACTGCAAGATCAGGAATCGTCCCTCATTACTTCCATCTTGGCTTTCAAAAGAGCCTACTGTAATTTTTTCTTCTGAAATAGTATGAAATAACTTTTTTCCTGAAAGAAAATCTCCTTTCTATGGTTCTTTCTTCTGAAACAAGGCTTTCCTTCTCTGAGCTTCCAGCTAGAATAATTTCCTCTGACATACTCTGATCTAGGAGGATTGTAGTGTGGTCACAATGCCTCAGCTGATTTCAGTTAATTTTCTTGAGCTGAATCAAATGAATGTCTTAACAAGTTGTCCTTTAAAAGGATAGACGTGCTTTTATACAAAACTTGCATTTAAATGAAACCACTAGACTTCTTCATACAATGTAATGAAGTCTTGGTATTCCAGCGATTTGGCACCTAAATGCATAGGCACTCAGTAAATATTGGAGGGAAGGAGGATGGTGGAAAGAAAGAAAGGGGGAGCAGGGAAAATTAGGGGGGAAATTATTTTTTCTTCCTGGGGATAGGTTTCATTTTTAATTGGGAAATGTAATGTGAAATGTATTACTTTCAAACTTGAGGACCCAGAATATAACTTATGATGATTTAAGTTTTCTTCCTTTTATTTACATTTTAATGATAAAGACACTCATTGGCCAAGACCCAGAAAAAAAGTTTAAATAAAAATTTACATTTTAATGATAAAGACACTCATTGGCCAAGACCCAGAAAAAATAGTTTACCTATATTTTATACGTGTTTGTTTAAAAAAAAAAAACACAATCTTTGAAAAATCTGGAGAATTTATTTCGGGTTATAATAGTCAGAAAATGTGTGCCTTTAAGTTTTGCTTCTGAATAGACATATTCTGCTAAGCAAGCAATCTCCTCTTAGACTGCTTGCTGAGCACATATACTTTCCGTATGCTGATTTTTAAAGTGTCTGTATTTGGTTGGTGGCTTTAGTAATAAGAGACTAGCTTTTAACACAGCCAGAAGAAGCTGATGTGAACCAGCAGAAATAACACTGATCATATATAATACTTATGGAACAGTGGTTGCCCACCATTTTTGAACCCAAGATTTCCTGACATTTATCACTGTGCCAACAAAAAGAAAAACTAGGAACCTGGGGAGGACTTAGAGAGAGGAAGCATGGACAGCTGCCAGCCTGGGCAGATGGCGTCTGTTTGGTTGAGACAGATTCACCAGGAAACAAGATCAGATCCTAGTTTGAGACCCAAAACCTGGTGAGTAAGAACAAGTGTTCAGGACTTCAAGGGGCCCAGTAGGCAATTGTGGGAAAAAATCTGGAGGTCCTGAACTTGCCCAAATTACAGGGGTAGGTGAGAAAAGGTAATCCAAGGGGTAATATTTTTTTCTGCTTTTTGGTGTTATCTATATTTTCTTTAACAATTATATATATTACTTAAAGGAAAAAACTCTAGGTCTTATATATTCCTGACTAAGCTTCATCAATATGTATTTGCTTCTTTTATACAAAGTAACATTGTTTTCATTTACAGATTGCCATTAGGATACCTTAGTAATGATGTCCAGTTATGATGCAGATATTTCAAAGTTTATTGTTTATTTATTTATTATTATTTTGGAGGCAGGGTCTTACTGTGTTGCCCAGGCTTGGGTACAGTGGTGTGATCTTGGCTCACTGCAGCCTCGACCTTCCAGGCTCAAGCAGTCCTCCCATCTCAGCCTCCCAAGTAGCTGGAACTACAGGTGTGCACCACCATGCCTGTCTAATTTTTATATTTTTTGTAGAGATGGGGTCTCGCCATGTTGCCCAGGCTGGTCTTGAACACCTGGGCTCAAGAGATCTGCCCGCCTCAGCCTCCCCAAATGCTGGGATTATAGGCGTGAGCCACCGCACCAGGCCCAAAGTTAAAATAACTTAATGAATAAGGTTTGGATGATGTCAGGTACCCCTTTTTTCTCAGGGGAACTGGCTCCTACTTAGATATCTTATGACCATTAGTGGGACATTATAGGATAGCCTAGAAACAGAAACACTCACGTCAGTGTGATTTATGGCTAAGCTGGCACTCGACATCAGTGGGATAGGAGGGGGTAATACATTAAATGGTGCATGGGAAATTGATTATTCGTTCAGAAAATAATTGAAATGGATCTGTACTTCATTTCATACACAAAAATCAATTTCAGGGAGATTAAGGGACTTAAGTTATAAAAGGCAAAACTTTGAAACTTTTGGAAATAGTATAGGAGAATAGCTTTATGACCTTGGAGGAGGGAAGGATTTACAAATAGTGTTAGCTATAAGGCAAAGGTTTGGTCATTGAGCCATCTTAAAATCAAGGAAATTACTTCATCAAAAGACATCGCTAAAAGAGTGGGAGAGAAAAACCACACACTGGGAGAAAATATGTGCCATACATATGTGTGGCAGGCACACCTGACAGCAACAACCGAAGCATACCCTGAGAATGACCCTATGGTCTAAGAAGAATGTGTGTTTGGAGTTCTCAGCTGAGGAACCTGGTAGTGGCCAACCCGGAGACTGATTCCTTGTCTATGAGGAACATCTGAACCCCCGGCCCATTTCGGATTAAAGGAGGGTTGCCAGGTGAAGGTTGCAGGAGGGGAGCTAAGTAAAAATGCTATATAAACTGCATACTTTTTAGAAACGGTAGTGGTTCGTCCATCCAGCCTGCTACCACTGGACCGCTGCATATGTAAGTCCCCTCGAGAAGCCCTATATCTCATTTGCCAGCTCTCGGTCTCTTCTTTGGCCTCTCTTCTTTGGCCTCTCGAACCTGTGCTATCCCTATCCAACTCAATAGGGGTCTGGCACAATAACATGTAACTAACAATTAGGAAACAGAAACCTGTCTTTTAGAATGTGGGACTTCTCTTCATCAAAAGCACTGTAAAATGAGTTAAGAAACAACCCATAAATACTTGAGGAAGATACTTGCCATACATGTAACTGACAAATTAATAAAGGAAAAAGGTACTCTGGAGAAAAATGAACAAAAGCCTTGAATAGAAACTACACAGAAGTGGAAATGTGAGGTTGGGCGTGGTGGCTCACACCTGTAATCCCAACATTTTGGGAGGCCTAGACAGGTGGATTGCTTGAGCCCAGGAGTTTGAGGCCAGCCTGGGCAACATGGTGAAACCCCATCTCTACAAAAAAATGCATAAATTAACTGGGTGTGGTGGCAGACATCTGTGGTCCCAGCTACTTGGGAGGCTGAGGTGGGAAGATTGCCTGAGCCTGGGAGGTGGAGGTTGCAATGAGCTGTGATCATGCCATTGCACTCTAACCTGGGCAACAGAGGAGACCCTGTCAAAAAAAAAAAAAAATGAAAATGTGAATGGTCAATAAAAATGTGAAACTACTTAACTTCATTAGTAATCAGGGAAATGCAAATGAGAAGCACCAGGTGATACTGTTTCACACTCTCCGGGGCGGCCAAAATTTTTAAGTCTTAACAAACAACCCTAACAATGTAGAGTCACAAACAGGAATCCTTAGACACTGCTGGTGGCAGTTGAATTAGTACAGCCACTTTGGAGAACTCTGCAGCCTTGTCAGGAAGAGTTGAAGCTGTGTGTAATCCACAACACTGCCCACACTCCACAGCAATGCTTCTCAAGCCTGGCATAATATATTAGCATCCCAAAATGAGCATGTTGGAAATACTTACACCTGGCCCTTACCCCAGACCTGTGATTCTCAAATGGTATGCCAAGATGCCCTGGGGAACCACAGCAAACTCACAGAAGACGATGGGATATCTTAAATGTTCAAGGGGAATGCAGTGATACTTGGCATCTGTTGAACGCAGTGTGAATTACTAGCTCAAGACACTTCAGTTCAGTCTCAATGTTACCCCACGCATCATCCCTTTCTATTATGCGAAGCTGGATTTTCAGTGGTTGCTGTAACAAAAAGCAGATATCATGAAAATCAGTATGGAAGAGGAAATAAGGGTGATAGAGTCCAATATGATTCCAAAGTTTAAGAAGTTGTATAGTGCCCAACGAGTGCACACATTCCATTAATAAGTAATTGAGGTTATTTAAGAATGAAATAAAACTTTTTTCTTTGGTATTTTCATACAGATTTTTCAAACAGCTACTGCATTGTTAGGACAAAAAAGACTTGTTAACTTTTTTGGACCTAACTACTTAAATGGAATTGTTAGGAATTTGTTCTAGGGGTGCCTAGAACCCTGAAAAAATTGAGCCACTTAGTAGTGTCCCTTCAACTGAGAATATTTGGGAATCTCTTTCCCAAATTAGTTAACTCAGAATGGAGATGGAATCTCTATGTCTTTGTTTTTAAAAAGCTCCCCAAGTGATTCTAATGGGTTCGTAAGGTTGAGAACCACTGCTTGAGAGACTCTTGCACATGTGACTTAGGATAATGCTACTCAAATTGTACCTGGGGGCCAGCGCTGGTTTGCAAATTATTTCCTACAGATCTGCAGCAAGTTTATATGAATCATACTTTCAGTGAATAATGGTACAGTTTTTGTAATCTTTTGTCTTCTGATTAAATTTACTGAAATATAATTTTATGTCAAATTTTATAATGGAAAAATTGAGGCTTGTACTTTGTGCTTTTTTCTCATATTTTTCTAATATTTATGATTTTACAGCTTTGTTGATGTATAAGTGATCAATTTGCACTCTTTAAATATGTGCAATATATTATATGTCAATTTTGACATATGTATATACTTGCGAAATCATCAACACAACCAAGATAATGAACATATCCATGACTCTCTAAAGTATTTTCTCATCCCTGTGTAATCTCTCCCATTTGGCCCTCCACATCCCTTCATAATCCTCCACTCCTGTCCCCGCCCCAGTGCAACCACTCATCTGCCTGTTGTCACTATAGATTAGTTTGCATTCTCTAGCATTTCATGTAAATGGAATGTTACTGAATGTACTCTTGCTTTTGTCTGGCTTCTTTTACTTAGCATAATGTTTTGCAATTCAGCCATGTTGTTGGATATGTCAGTAGTTTACTCCTTTTTATTGCCGATTAGTATTCCATTGTATGGATATGCCACAACTTGGTTTTTTATTCACCAATTGATGGATATTTGAAATGTTTGCATTTTGGCTGCTATGAACATTTGTGTGTAAATCTTTATGTGATCACGTGCTTTCATTTGTCTTGGATAAATAAATACCTAGGAGTGGAATGGTTGGATTGCATGGTAGGAATATGCATATAGTAATTTATTTTTATTGCATTTCACAAATAAAAAGCATTAGCCCACAAGGATTAGAAATAAAACTCTCCCAGGCCGGGAGCAGGGGCTCATGCCTGTAATCCCAGCACTTTGGGAGGCTAAGGTGGGCTGATCACCTGATGTCAGGAGTTCAAGGCCAGCCTGGCCAACAAGGTGAAACCTCATATCCACTAAAAATACAAAAATTAGCTGGGTGTGGTGGTGCATGCCTGTAATCCCAGCTACTCAGGAGGCTGAGGTAGGAGAATCACTTGAACCTGGGAGATGGAGGTTGCAGTGAGCCGAGATCACGCCACTGCACTCCAGCCTGGGAGACAGAGCAAGACTCCTTCTCAAAAAAAAGAAAGAAGGAAAGAAAACTCTTCCTTCAGCAAATGTATTTTGAAAAGTACTAGCCTAAGTTAAATGCCCAACAGTGTTCACAGCTACATTGTTTATAATAGCAAAAGACTGGAAACAATCCAATCATCCATTGTCAAGAGAATGGATTATTAATATGAAGTATATATCCAGTAGACTACTTTATAACAATGAAAACTACATTGATGTAGCTGCAGTTTATCTACTACATTAATGTAGCTGCAGCTACATTAATCAGAATGAATAAACGGAATTTAAAGTTGAGTTCCAAAAGCAAATTGCAAAAGAGTGCATATGGAAGGATTTCATCATATGAATTTTACAAACAGTATTTTACTACAATATTAAATAGCATTTTATTTACAGAAACATACATATATGGTAAACTATAAAGAAAATGGTGATACAAAATGCAGGATAGTGTTTACTTGGGGAGTGGCCGAAGGTACAATGAGAGAGATAGGACCAAGGAGGACAGACAGAGGCCTTTGAGGCTAGTGGGTCTTGGTCCCGTTCTTAAACTATAGGAATTCATTTTAATGTTACATTTTGTGTTTATATTTTGTCATAAATTTTTTGTGCATATTCAATATGTAACCACAAAATACAAAAAAACTCTCAACAGTTGACAAGGGAGTTTATTAAGCAAATAGAGGTACCAATTACAAACCATCAGGGTTAGAAAAAAAATCCAGGCTTTAAGTAAATATAAATCTAAGTAATAGGCTATTGACTATTATCTTAGAAAAACTTGGGGTATTACACCAGGTTATCACAGAATATTTAGTTGAGAAGTATGGAAAATATGATATGCTATTTATTTGAATGATACTCGGTAGGCATGTAATGTGATGATTAAATCAGTTAAGAATATGTGATAGATTTTTTTTAAAAAAACATCTCATTTAAAATGCATGTCTTTTGTTTTTATGATTATTGAAAAATGGTTTTCAGAATACAAAATGAGAATCAAAAATTGGTAATTAGATATTCTGTGTTTCTCAAATGGACGGACTTTATAATTGGGTGGAGTTATGTTAAAAGCTAGAAAAACTGAAGAAGTTAAGAAAGAATTGAAAATTCCCATTAAGAGAAAAAAGAAAAAGCTGCAACCTTTGCTAATATAAACCGTAAGAGCCTATGCCTCTTGAAATTTCTCTGTGTTTGTCTTTGTACATTTTTAATGACTTAATGAGAAAAAAGATTCATCAGGACTCCTTTCCTAGCAGGAGGTTTAGTGTTTCACAAATGAGTAGGGAGCTGCTCTCATAATGAGGTAAACGGCCACCTGATTCTTGGATAAGTCCAAGGAAAACCTTTACACCAGAGGAAGCAACAGCTTGCCAGTGTTCAATCTGAGACTTTCCAAGGTCAGAAGAGAGGAGGATTGGTATTGATATTTAATAAGCATTTACTGTGTCCAAGGCATTTTGGTACGAATTTTATATCTCTTATCTGATATCCTTGCCTTTTAGGACTAGGCTGTTTTTACCTTTAAGGTAGATGTTATTATTCTCATTTTACACATGAGGTAACTGAAACATAGAACTTAAAAACCTTGCCAAACATTTCAGAGGAGGCAGATTTAAACCCAGATGCATTTGCATTAAACCCCAATGGATTTGATTCCAAAGCACGTCGTCTTTCTGCTAATAATAGCCAACAGTCATTGAGTACTTACTATATTTATACCAAGGTCTGTTCCAAGTGATACATAGATTTTCTCTTTTAAGCCTCGTGGCAGTATGAGAAAGAAGCTATTATTATCCCCATTTTACAGATGAAAAAATGGAGTCACAGAATGTTATGTAATTTGCCCAATGTCACACAGTAAGTGGCAGAGTTGGTCCACCTCAGGAGCCCACACTCTTAACCTCTTTTGGCCTTTTATGAGTACATCTGCCCTTTCAAGGATCAGGCTTGAGTCTGTCAGGGAGGCCTCATGTCTCCTATTAACTTTTGAGCCATACGCATCATGGAAACTGGTTTCTCCTGGCTGGGTACTTCTGAGTTGCCTGGCCTCCTGTGAGCTCTTCTTTTCTAATTGAATCTACTCTCTAAGACTCTTTGCTGCTGGAATATGCAGCAGTAGTTTGAGAGACACTTCTCAGTCAGTTCTAACATGTTTAGCTAGGTTCTTCCTATTTTTTGTGCTTCATCAGATCATTTGGGCTCAGTGTTTTCTTTCTTTTTATTTTTTTCTTTTTTTTTGAGACAGTATCTCACGTTGTTGCCCAGGCTGCAGTGCAGTGGTGCAATCTCAGCTCACTGCAACCCTGCCTCCTGGGTTCAAGCGATTCTCCTGCGATTCTCCTGCCTCAGCCTTCAGAGTAGCTGGGATTACAAGCACCTGCCATCACAGCCGGCTAATTTTTGTATTTTTAATAGAGATGGGGTTTCACTATGTTGGTCAGGTGGACCTTAGGTGATCCACCTGCCTCAGCCTCCCAAACTGCTGGGATTACAGACGTGAGCCACCGCGCCCAGTCTGGGCTCAGTGTTTTTCAGTGGAATAAGGATGAATCATTAGAAGAGCTTTCATACCTCTTAAACTCTCAAATTCCATGCCTTAATAAGGATTTTTATTAATACTTCATTTAAAACAAACAGTAATTAAGCATCATTTTAACCATTTGATGTGATTATAACTCATATGCTTTCTACTCCAAAAATATTTGAAGTAGAAGAAACCAATACAATGGGATAAACACAAAAAAATGCAGAACAATGTAGAGAAAACAGAGATAATTATACAAAACCTTAAGGTATTTTCGTTATTGCTGTTGAGCATTTAATGCTGAATTTCCTGGCAGCTGAGGCAACAGAAAGGTAATTGGTCAGATAATTTTTGTTATATGTTCAAATAAAGTAAACTAGTTCATTGGGGAGGATAGGGTACCATGTCAGGCCACTAGCCAACCCTTTTCTTCCTACAAGTTAAATTATATCTGAATATCCTCTGGAGCACTCAGATCTTAAAATACTTTAGAAGAGACTGTAAAGAACTGCCAGTGATTGTCTTTAAAGAGGCGTCATGGCAGTGCTGTAATTCTTGCTTAGCAACACTTATATCTAAGCTTTCTTCTCTGAGGGAAAGGCCAGGTTCTAGGTCACTCCCTCACTTTGTTCCAGTCTCTGCCCAAAGGTCACCTCTTCCCTGACTGCCCTTTCTATATGAGGTTCCCACCGAACGCATCTGGGTTGCCCTCTATCCCTGTCCAACATAGTAGTCACTAGCCATATATGACAATTAAAATTAATTAAATGACAAAATAAAAAATTCAGTACTTTGGTCATACCAGCCACATTTCAAAAGCTCAGTAGCCATGTGTGGCAACTGGGCATATTGGCAACACAGATACGTCATCGCAGAAAGTTCCACTGGGCACTGCTAGCCTATGCTCTTGCCTTAACTTTTTCAACACTATGCCATGCCATGCACCTATTGATTTGTTTATGTTCCACTAGAATACATGCTCTGGATCACAGAGTTTTTTTTTTTTGTTTTCCCAGAACATAGCTGAATCCTCAGTGCCTAAAGCAGTGCCTGACATAGTACAGTGCTTTGTAAATACTTGCCGAGTGAATGAACAACAAATGAATGAATGAATTTTAGTATTATTTTGCAGTTTCAAATCAAAAGTATTTTGTCTAATGTCCCTGGGTGACCTAGTACACGTTCTGCCACAGTTTTTGAGATGAAAGAACGAAAATTCTGTGATCAAAGAGAACATTTTAAAGATAAAATGATATTAAATATACTAGTCAAAATTTTATTTCTTTTATCTTTTATATTATGAAGAATAATGGGTACGAAATTTCTGTTTATCAATTAACGTATCATCCTGAATATGAACACAGAAAATATCAATTTTCTTTGCATTAAGAAGTCATGTAAGTAGAAGGAGAAAACAAAGTACTTATTACATAGCTAACTGGACTTACAGTCACATCTAATTTAAAGCAAATTTGCTCCATGCAATGGAATATACTAAAAGTAATATTGTGCAATTATAGCTACAGACATGATAGGAAATCATAATACATTCTAAAAGTATATAGAAAAATGTCAGTTTACTTCAACTTATTTTAAACAAAAATTACCCATGAAATGATTGCAGTACCTAAAAAGAATTTGCAATCTGAACAAAATATAACTAGAAGCACGACTACCCTATATCTCCTATAAATACAGATTGAAGCTAGTTTTGTGATTTCAGCCAAAGATGCAGCTTCAGTAACCTTGAAAAACATTGTTTCCTTTCTATTGGGCCTGGCTTTGTCAGGAGATACTCAGGAGGTGATGGTGAAAGGAGGTACCTGGTGGAGCCAGACGAGTCGGGTAAATCAGCTTTAACAAGCAGCCAGATGATAGATGTCAGTTGGGTGTCATGCCCAATTCTAGTTGCTGACAATTAGGAATTAGATTAAAATAGGAGTGTTTTCTCCTTCACCCTCCCTTTCTTAAAAGCAGCCATTTTCTGAGTAGTGTTAGTTCTTAGTTCTCAGTGGATTTGCAAATGCAGATCATGAGGCACCTCTAGCTTGGGCAGGATTGGTGTTATTTTGCTATTTCAAGTAAAAAACATGATGGTTAGTGTCCTTGGATAACCTCATATACTTTCATTGTTTTTCAAATCAGGTCCAGTGAAGGGCCAAGTTCTTCATAAATATCATGGCTAATTTTGGAAACCCATATGTTCAGTTAAGGTTTCTGAAACTGGAATAAATATGAATGGAGGATTTATCAACATTTGGATATTTGCAATTTCAATTCTTGATTCTTTTTTGAAAATCTATTCTGGGTCTACATCTGAAATGTTTATCTCCTTTGGTGCTAGATCCAGAGTACAATTTTTGAAAACTTTAAATCAAGGGTGGAACAATAAATTCACTTGCTCTTAAGACTTTAGGGGTTGTTTTAGCTGCCAAGAGAGCATTGCCTGTGTGCTGCGAAAAATACGAGAGCCACAGAATGGCCAAATTATTGCTTTTACTCAGGCAGAGTGAAGAAAATGGCCCTGTGACAGACATTTCCAGTTTCCTGTACATAGAAATGGGGAAACAGTTGTGAAAAAAAAAAAAAAGCCAGCTGGGGTTCTTGACACACAGTTCATGCTAATTTTAAATTGTACTAATACTTGACTATATAGTGAGGGATCCTTTGCAGGATGATGATCTGTTGAAGACTCAGCAGGCCACTGTGGGGAGAGGGAGAGAGGCTGTCAGAACCTTCCCCTCCAGAGGCCTTTTAATGGATACTGAATTCAGAATTGACCTCACAGAATCTGATCATTACTGATGCAAGAGCAAAGTCAACATCATCTGCAAAGATAATTTCTCATCTATTCATGAGTACCTGTGCTTATCACCACATCTGGAAATCTGACTACTCAAATAAGAATTTCTGTCGAGAGACTGAACAAGCCAGGCACCAGGAATATTTTACTCTGTATGTACAGATGGACATCGATACTGGAATATTTCTGTCTCACTGATGCTTAGGGACCATCTTTTGATTTTGATCCGTGTCAAGATTCTAAGGCAGTTTAACTAAGACATGGGTTTTCAGTGTTTTTTTGTTTTTGTTTTTGTTTTAATTTCTGTTTCTGTGAGTGTAATTTAGGGAGGAGTACCAGCTTGTTTTTTATAAGTTGTTTCTTACAATGATTAACACATAATCTTTTCTGCCTTAAGGTTTATAACAAATGTGAAACTAAGTTTCACAGGTTAATTCCAGCCTAATCTTTTCATAGATGATAGCGTAGCCCAGAAGCAATATGCTGTGACATTTTATTTTATTTTATTTTTGAGACAGAGTCTTGCTTTGTTGCCCAGGCTGGAGTGCAGTGGCATGATCTCGGCTCACTGCAACCTCCATCTCCCAGATTCAAGTGATTCTCCTGCCTCAGCCACCCAAGTAGCTGGGATTACAGGCATGCACAAGCACGCCCAGCTAATCTTTGTATTTTAACAGAGACGGGGTTTTGCCACGTTGGCCAGACTGGTTTCGAACGCCTGACCTCAAGTGATCCACCACCTCAGCCTCCCAAAGTGCTGGGATTACAGGCGTGAGCCACCGTGTCCAGCCTACCGTGACATTTTAAATTTCAAAATGTAATAAAATCACAAGTTATGCCAGAAAGCCACCGTACTTCTCATTGAATATAGTATCTCCTTGGTGTTCATGTCCTTATGTTCTTATATAACTCTGTGTGCCAGTGTTTCACCAAATCTATCAACTCTTTTAAGGCAGAGACTACATTTATTTATTTTTTAACTTTTTGTTTGAAATAACAAAACTTTCTGATAACTTCAGACTTAGAAAAAAGTTGCCCCAAAATACTACACTGATTTTCATGTACCCTTGATACAGCTTCCCCAGATGTTACCATCTTACATAATCATAGTACAGTGAAGGAAACAGAAATTGACGTTGATACAATAGCATCACTAACTAACCTAAATAACTTATTTCAGTTTGCCGATTGTCCTACTAGTGTCCTTTTTAAAGTCCAGGATCCAATCTAGAATCCCATACAACACTTACTTGTCACGTCTTGTTAGTCTCATCTAGTCCGGAGGAGTCTTTCTATAATTTTCACGACTTAATACTTTTGAAGAGTCCCGACCAGTGATTTTGTACAATGTCCCCAGTTTGGGTTTGTCTGATGTTTTCTTAGGATAAGAATTAGCTTATGCATTTTTGACAACAATACCACTGAAGTGATGTTGTGCCCTTCCCAATGTTTTTTGTTGTTGTTGTTTTTGTTTTTGTTTTGGAGAAGGGGTCTCCATCTGTTGCCCTGCCTGGAGTGCAGTGGCACAATCTCAGCTCACTGCAACCTCCGTCTCTCGGGTTCAAGTGATTCTCCTGCCTCAGCCTCCCGTGTAGCTGGGACCACAGGCACACACCACCACGCCTGGCTAATTTTTGTATTTTTAGTACAGACAGGGTTTTGCCATGTTGGCCAGGCTGGTCTTGAACTCCTGACCTCAGATGATCTGTCTCCCACCTCTGTCTCCCAAAAAGCTGGGATTACAGATGTGAGCCACCGCACCCGGCCCCCAGTGTATTATATGAGAGGGTACATGATGTCAGTATGTCTCATTGCTGTTGATCTAAGTTTTGGTCACTTAGATAATGTGGTGTCTACCAGGTTTCTCCACTGCAAAGTTACTGTTCTTCCCATTAGAATTAATAAGTACTTTGTGGGGAGATGCTTTAAGACTCTGCAAACATCCTGTTTCTCATCATACTTTTGCCCATTAATTTTAGATACTATTGATGATTCTTACCTGTAACAGTTATTAGTGTTTGCTAAATGCTGATATATTTTATTTCCATCATTCCTTCTATATTATTGTAATTCTACTGTAAGGAAGAGCTGTTCTTTCTTCTGCTATTTATTGATTTATTATGTTAATGTGGATATATAATTAGTTACTATAATTTTTTTCTCAAAATATCTCAGATTTGGCCATTGGAAGCCCCTTCAGACAGGCTCCTGTCTCCTTTTGACATATCCTCATTATCTTTTAAATGCATGTTGTAACTCTGGCATCACAAGATGTGTCTGGCTTATTTTGCTCCAGCCCTAGAATCAGTAACTTCTCCAAAGACCCTAGTTCTTTTTACTGTAGACTGGTATTTAGAAACAAAATCTGGGTGCTGGATATGCTCATTGCTACTGGTATATCATTGCTTCTAGGCCCTCTCAGCTTACAGTGCTAGGAAATAATGTGTCTGTATATCCAGACACATGTTTCTCTCTCCCTCTCTCTCCATATCTATATGCCTATGACTATCTACCTATTAAAAACAATAAGTTTATCTACTTATTAATACTTCCACTTACAATTCAATACCACTAGTTTCCTTTTAGATATCTCTTTCCTTACTCGTGGCTTTTTCTCCAACAGTTAGAAACCTGGCATTCATTATCTACAATATATTTACTTATTTGCTCAACCCTAGTATATATGTAAAGAAGTTTCAGAACTGTGATTTCCATAATCTCTATGAGAAACAAGTTTACCAACAAGACTATATAGCATCCAGGTGCAGTCCTTTTTGTCTTTAGTCTTAAGGTATATAATAAAAGTACTGGTTTCCAAAATTAGGTTAGATATTTTCTTTCTTACCTCTTTCATGGTGGCTGTTGTTTTTTACTTGTAATACAGCTAGGTTCTTTTGTTACTGTTCGTGTTCCATTTTGGGTTCCCCCAACACCGAGAGGTTGGTTTTAATTATTCTTTATTAGGGGGATGTGAAACATGATTATTGTTCTCAGAGTCAGAACTCTGTGAAAAGGGGCCGGTCGTGGTGGCTCATGCCTGTAATCCCAGCACTCTGGGAGGCCAAGGTGGTTGAATCACTTGAGGTCAGGAGTTTGAGACCAGCCTGGCCAACAAGGTGAAACCCCTTCTCTACTAAAAGGACAAAAATTAGCTGGGCATGGTGATGGGCGTCTGTAATCCCAGCTACATGGGAGGCTGAAGTAGGAGAATTGCTTGAACCCAGGAGGCAGAGGTTGCAGTGAGCCGAGATCATACCACTGCATTCTATCCTGGGTGGCAAGCTAGACTCCATCTCAAAAAGAAAAAAGAACCATGTGAAAAGGCATTTCAGAAAAGTGTCATTCCACCTCATCCCTTCTGTCACGTTTCAGTCTCCCATTCTTCCCATCTACCCCGTAAGTGACCAGTTTAGTTTCTACTTTTTTCTTCTGTATTTCTTTTTGCACAAATAAACAGGCACATATATGTTTTCTTATACAGAGATGATATTCAGTGTCTTTTTTTGTGTGGTACTGGGCAATTTAAATGCTGTTTGGTAATTTTAACTCTTAAGGATACTGTTTATAATTGATCTGTCCTTAATGCCAATGTATTAGAAAGCACACTAAATGATTGTTTTCTTTTTTGTAAAATATTTGTGAGATTTTTTAAAAAATGAAGGTGACATGAATTTTGATGGGCTTATTAACACTGAACTATTTCTTGATAAGAGTTGTCTAAAAAAATGAGAACATATGCCAGGCGCGGTGGCTTATGCCTGTAATCCCAGAACTTTGGGAGGCTGAGACGGGCGGATCACAAGGTCAGGGGATCGAAACCATCCTGGCTAACAAGGTGAAACCCCGTCTCTACTAAAAATACAAAAAAAAAAATTAGCCGGGCGTGTTGGTGGGCACCTGTAGTCCCAGCTACTCGGGAGGCTGAGGCAGGAGAATGGCGTGAACCCGGGAGGCGGAGCTTGCAGTGATCCGAGATTGCACCACTGCCCTCCAGCCTGGGCGACAGAGCGAGACTCCGTCTCAAAAAAAAAAAAAAAAAAAAAAGGAGAACATAAAGCAAGTAACAATGTTTTTCAAGTTTTCTTTAATGCATTACATCTTTTTTTCACAAGATATTTTAAAATTTTATTTTTCCTTATTAAGCGAATTGAATTATTTCAAGCATCAGTGAGAGCTGCTAGACTGTTATATTTCGGGGGTCTTGCAGGGTAGCTTTTCTTACACATATAAGCAGAAGAAAACATTTTCCCAAGTCTTAAAAGAGGGTTATGATGCATTTCATTGTGTACTCTTTTTCTTCCCATATACTCTGCAGGCATTTGGGCAGTCCTTCTCCATCCACCGGAAGGTTGCTGAAGATGGAGAGACTCGGGAGGAAACGCTTCTGCAGGAGTCAGCATCGAAGGAGGCTTACTATCTGGGGAAGATCTTGGAGATGCAGAACGAGCTGAAACAGAGCCGGGCTGTGGTCACTAATGTACAGGCAGAAAACGAGAGGCTCACCGCAGTCGTGCAGGATCTGAAGGAGGTAAATAAACAAATTCCCTATGAGAGATTTGTGAGAGGGAGAAATAAGAAAGTTCTCTCCATAGCAGAGAGGAATAACACTTTTGTTTTAATCAGAGGAGCTGTATTAAGCACGAAACTACTAATACTGAGCTAGCAACTTTTCTTTTTTAGTGAAATGATAGCTAGCTTGTTCTGAGATGAGCTTTTCTCTCTTTTATTGTTTCTTGAAAATTAAGTTTTGTATGTATTGCGGACTTCGGAATTGGCCTTACTATTTCTGCAAAGGTATTTTAAAAATACAGTGACCTTAGCACTTCCTCCCTGCATTAGCTGGTTTAATACAATGTGGAGAAGAACGGTTGGCTGTAATGCTCTGTATCTGCCTGATTTCCAGCTGACAGTGGTGTTGGCTCAGGACACTGCTCATAGGGAATGACAGCCTAGGCGAGTGTCCTGAGAAGTCTTTGAGTCTGGTGATGCAGATCCCCAAAGGATTTTTCTGGTTATAGAGAAGGCAGCAAATTATGGCTGGTATGAATTAGGTCAGGGAGTCTCTCTTGCTCTGTGAGTGTTGAGCATCCACCAAACTCAGTATTCCTTGTTAGCTTTTCCAAGGCAGCATCACCTGCCATATCATTTTCAAACTGGCAGAGTCATCCTTTAGTGGAGGGGTGATGTTGGAAACAGAGATAGCCAAAAGTAGCTTCATCCATCAAACCCCTGTAAGAACATTTTTGGAAGCTATATTCAATCATTCACTCCGTATTTTGATATGAAAGCTATAGAAGAGACGCAGACGTCCTCTAACTCCTACACCAATGCAGTGATCATTGACAGGTCCACAACCAAGTGGGCTCACTAGTTGAGCATTTTAGTGATAGAAATATGTAGGATGAAAATATTCTTCAATATTGTAAAGTATAAGACAAGCAATCCACATTTGAAATAAGTGACATATTACAAATAGGGCTTCACTATTATAAGATATAAGTTGTCCAGAATTTATTGGAATTTTCTAGATAATTTACGTTTACACATGTCCATATTACAATGAACTAAATGAATACTGACAGCAAGGTCACTTATGAGATAAGGTTTACTTATCTCGTTATCTTTGGATATGCCCAAATATAGCAATATGACTTGTGAAGACAGAGAAAGGATCTAATGAAGTGGAAGTTAGTGTTGAGTACTAAGAAGAAGATGAGACAGTTTTCAGGATACCAGGACCTCCTCATTTCCCTCCAACGTGAACAACTGTTAAAAACAGAGCTACTCTCTGGTTCCTTCTTTCTGAGACAGGGTGTCACTCTATTGCCCAATCTGGAGTGCAGTGGCACAATCCAGCATCCATTGCAGAAGTGGACAGAGGGTCATGTGGAGCCAAAGCCCACCATTCTGGATTAAGGAAGTCACCAAACATTTGCAGGGAGCAACCTCAGCAGCCGTGAGCAGCAGGGTCATGTGCAAGTTGGCAGAGAGGATGTGGCATGGGCAACGTGAGGACCGTGTGCACACGCATGCAGGTGGTTTATGGAGAAGAATGTGACCAATGAGTCGAGTATTCTTGATGGCCAGTTGGATGGATCCTCTGAAAGCTGCAATCCCCATTGTGTGTAGCAGCTGCAGCTGAGCCAAGAACAGCCAAGGTTGAGGATGGGGCAGGGAATCCACAGATGCTTTTCTGTGTGAGTCAACGTGGTGATGATTAATGGAGCATCCTCACTTACACAGCCACGCTTGAAGGCAGTTCCAATGAGTAGATTTATGATGCATGGCAGAAGTTAATTAATTAAGCATGAAGTTACAAGTTAGGAATGAATGGAGGCAGCAAAAGAAAAAAAATTTGAGGGGCCTTTCATTCAGATCAGTTCTCAAACTTGAAGGAGCATCTGAATCACCTGGAGAACTCATCAGACCATGAACACGGGGCCCCCTCGCAGAGATTCTGATTCAGTAGATCGAGGTAGGACCCAATAATTTGCATTTCTAACAAGTTCCCAGGTGATGTGGGGGCTGCTGCTCTGGAAACCACATATTAAGAACCACTAATTTAGATTTTTTGGCCTGCCCAAAGCTGAGGAAGGCTCACAATTGGGACATTGCTATAAGCACCATGATCTCCTGAATAAATCAATTGGTTGTGATTCTTCAATTTTTATGCATTTTACATAGTAGATTTGCAGTAAGAGAATAACTTGTTATATCCACATTTAGGTATTTTTGATCTAAAACAGCTTGAGGCACTTTAGCCTATGAATGTGTTTATTCAGATTTGTCAGGTAACTAAAAGAAAAAAAAGATCTTGTGTTTCTTTGTCTTCTATGTGTGCCAATAATGTATTTGTTAATGTTCTTTCTGATGAGTGAGAGCTGGTGATATTACTATAACCCTGAGTTTTTGTTTTTGTTTTTAATCCAGCAGATACATTTTATTTTGCTGTACCTAAGAGAATTATTATTAACATTTAGAGCTAACATAAAAGGAGAATAGGAATAAATTCTATTTTTTGGTGTATTGATACACACTTTTAATGGTTGGTATTAAGTTGAAATCTCAGATTTGATTTCCTTTTAGGCTCAGTTTTATTTTTTGTACTATAAGCATTAACTGATGTACAGTGATTGGAAGAGAGATCATGTAACTTAGAACAGTTATGACATGATGGACCATGAGAAATATACAAGGATAACCAACCCAAAATATAGTAAATGATCAGTTTGACAGATGCTGTGTCTCTAAGAACTTAATTAATGGGATAATTTTTCTTTACTGAAAGGACTCATTTCCTGTTTTAGTAGGATTGTTGGTCCTGGCAAAGGTGTGTGTGCGTGCATATATGTTGGGTGCATCGTGAAAGATTTACCCATGTGTGTGTGATTACAATGTCAAATTCTCTTCCATAAATAGTAGTTACAGGATAGTATGGTGGAAAATGGAAAAATTGCTGAATTAGGTATTAGAAAATCAATATTCTAGTCAGCTCTGCTGAAAGTTTTAGTATTAAATTCATGATATTTGTAAAATTTATGTTAAGATTATATTGATATAGAGTACATACATAAACATAAGCAATTATCATTAATAATGTTCTGCATACTCCAAAAATATCATTGACGATATGACTCATTATGTAGATCTATATTCTTAGGGTAAAGAAACATGAGATAAATATCTCTGAATTTATCACCTCAAAAATTCTTTCTCTTGTGATATGAATCAGGCAGTAGAATTACACATTTTTATTTCTGCCTTGACTGTTAAGAAGCTCTGCGGCTATGCTTAAGTATAAAAAAACTAACCTAGATTTTTTTCATCTAATTCTCACTTTTAAACGTTTTGATTAGCCTTATTGTATATATGTTTTTAATGGTAAACTGCTTTAAATAATTTTATATACTATACTACAAGGCTACAGTAACCAAAACAGCATGGTACTGGTACCAAAACAGAGATATAGATCAATGGAACAGAACAGAGCCCTTAGAAATAATGCCACATATCTACAACTATCTGATCTTTGACAAACCTGAGAAAAACAAGCAATGGGTAAAGGATTCCCTATTTAATAAATGGTGCTGGGAAAACTGGCTAGCCATATGTAGAAAGCTGAAACTGGATCCCTTCCTTACACCTTATACAAAAACTAATTCAAGATGGATTAAAGACTTAAACGTTAGACCTAAAACCATAAAAACCCTAGAAGAAAACCTAGCCATTACCATTCAGGACATAGGCATGGGCAAGGACTTCATGTATAAAACACCAAAAGCAATGGCAACAAAAGACAAAATTGACAAATGGGATCTAATTAAACTAAAGAGCTTCTGCACAGCAAAAGAAACTACCATCAGAGTGAACAGGCAATCTACAAAATGGGAGAAAATTTTCGCAACCTACTCATCTGACAAAGGGCTGATATCCAGAATCTGCAATGAACTCAAACAAATTTACAAGAAAAAAACCAACAACCCCGTCAAAAAGTGGGCGAAGGACATGAACAGACACTTCTCAGAAGAAGACATTTATGCAGCCAAAAAACACATGAAAAAATGCTCACCATCACTGGCCATCAGAGAAATGCAAATCAAAACCACAATGAGATACCATCTCACACCAATTAGAATGGCAATCATTAAAAAGTCAGGAAACAACAGGTGCTGGAGAGGATGTGGAGAAATAGGAACACTTTTACACTGTTGGTGGGACTGTAAACTAGTTCAACCCTTGTGGAAGTCAGTGTGGCGATTCCTCAGGGATCTAGAACTAGAAATACCATTTGACCCAGCCATCCCATTACTGGGTATATACCCAAAGGATTATAAATCATGCTGCTATAAAGACACATGCACACGTATGTTTATTGCGGCATTACTCACAATAGCAAAGACTTGGAACCAACCCAAATGTCCAACAATGATAGACTGGATTAAGAAAATGTGGCACATATACACCATGGAATACTATGCAGCCATAAAAAATGATGAGTTCATGTCCTTTGTAGGGACATGGATGAAATTGGAAATCATCATTCTCCGTAAACTATTGCAAGAACAAAAAACCAAACACCGCATATTCTCACTCATAGGTGGGAATTGAACAATGAGAACACATGGACACAGGAAGGGGAACATCACACTCTGGGGACTGTTGTGGGGTGGGGGGAGGGGGAGGGATATCTTTAGGAGATACACCTAATGCTAAATGACGAGTTAATGGGTGCAGCACACCAGCATGGCACATGTATACATATGTAACTAACCTGCACATTGTGCACATGTGCCCTAAAACTTTAAGTATAATAATAATAAAATTAAAAATTAAAAAATTTAAAAAAAAATGTAAAATGCTTCCAACAGTGCCTGACATGTGGCAAAACAAATTAATAAACGTTATCTGTATCACAAAAAATAAAAAAATAAATAAATAAATAAATAAAAATAAATAAAAATAATTTTATAGGCCGGGCATGGTGGCTCATGCCTGTAATCCCAGCCCTTTGGGAGGCCGAGGCGGCTGGATCACAAGGTCGTGAGTTCAAGATCAGCCTGGCCAAGATGGTGAAATCCCGTCTCTACTAAAAATACAAAAAATTTAGCTGGGTGTGGTGGTGGGTGCCTGTCCCTAGATGCTTGGGAGTTTGAGGCAGAGAATTGCTTGAACCCGGGAGGCAGAGGTTGCAGTGAGCCAAGATTGCGCCACTGTACTCCAGCCTGGCGACAGAGCGAGACTCTGTCTCAAAAAATAATAATGATAATAATAATAATTTTATAAAATACAGGGAGTATAAACAAAAACTGATCACCCAAATTGGAGAACCAAATTAATAGTTAATCTTAACCTAATTAGGAGTTAATCCTACAGGGCCAATAATAGGCAGAGTGAAGAAATCTCTGAGTTCTCTTGACCCAGCATTATTTTTGGTAAGAGCATAAAGAAAGCAGATTGCTATAGGATTTAAATAGATATTTAGTAAACAAGTTTGAATTTCATTTTTTCTATCTTCAACCTGTAGGTATAATATACTAGAAGATAGCCTAAAATTTGGGTAATATTTACTTTTATACTTATTTATACTAAACTAAACTAAAATCCACATTAATGAAATCATAAAATAGGATAATGAAACTTAATACTACTTAATTCTCCCAATTACTAGCTAATGTCTCAAATATAAGATATGTTAGAATTAACTGCAATATTTACAAAGTATACAAAGCAATTATGCAGCATTCCTAACCAGAATTGGTATATATGGGATAAAAAGATGTCACATAAGATAGGCCCCTTCAGGTGGAATGCAGAAGATTGGAGTTATCAAATGAATTATCGACCTTAGTAGAGATTAAGCCTATAATTTAAAGTGAAAATAACAACATTTATTGAGTGCCAGACACTGTTCTAAATACCTTACGTGCCTTAACTGCTGAATCTTTCTAACAACCCTACTGAGGCAGTTCCTATTATATTATACCCCTATTTTACTGATGGGGCACGTGGATCAAAGAGAGGTCAGATCATTTGTCCAGAGCACATGGGTACCAAGTGACAGGCCATGATCTGAACTCAGGAACACTGGCTCTGATGTGCCATTCTTTGCCATGTCACCGTAGCTGCCAAGAGCATAGGTTTCCCTCTTCCGAACCCTGCCTCAAGCAATGAAATTTCTAGAAAAGTATATGAAGTTTTAATACGATAGCTGCTATGGTCTGAATGTGCCCCTTTTAAATTCATGCACTGAAACTTAATCATCAATGTGATAATATTAAGAAGTCGGGCCCTTAGGAGGTGAATGAGATTAGCGAGTTTATATGAGGGCTGGAGGGAGCTAGCTAGGCCTTTTGGCCCTTTTGTCCTTTCCAGCGTATGAGGACAAGGCATTCATCCTCTCCGGAGGACACAGCAACAAGGTGCCATCTTGGACGCAGAGAGCAGCTCTCACCAGACACTGAACCTGCCAGCACCTTAATCTTAGATCTTCAGCCTCCAGAACTGTGATCAATAAATTTGTGTGTTTTTATAAATTCTAATGCAAGGTTTCTTCTATAAGGTTATTTTGTCTATGTTGAAAATCTATGTTTTAGTTTAGTTTACCTTTATCAATGATCTTAGCTAGATCTGCTGGATCACTTGCTGCATTCAGTTAAAGACATCAGCACTTGCTACTTCACCTTGCACTTTATGTTATGGAGATGGCTTCTTTCCTTCGACCTCATAAACTAACCTCTGCTGGTTTCAAACTTTTCTTTTGCAGCATTCTCACCTCTCTCAGCCTTCATAGAATTGAAGAGAGGCATCCGGGTGTGGTAGCTCACGCCTGTAATTCCAGCACTTTGGGAGGCCAAGGCAAGTGGACCATCTGAGGTCAAGAGTTCGAGACCAGGCTGGCCAACATGGTGAAACCCCGTCTCTACTAAAAATACAAAAATTAGCTGGGCATGGTGGCGAATGCCCGTAGTCCCAGCTACTCGGGAGGCTGAGGCGGAGAATCGCTTGAACGTGAGAGGCAGGTGTTGCAGTGAGCCAAGATCGCGCCACTGCACTGGAGCCTGAGTAACAGAAAGAGACTTTGTCTCAAAAAAAAAAAAAAAAAAAAGAATCAAAGAGAGCCCTTGCTCTGGATTAGGCTTTGGCTGGTTTGATCTTCTATCCAGACCTTTCTTCATGTCAGAAATGAGACTGTTTCGCTTTCTTATCATTCATGTGTCAATGGAGTAGCACTTTTAATTTTCTTCAAGAACTTTTCCTTTGCATTCACAATTTGGCTAACTTAGCTAACTTAACTTGGCTAATTTGGCATATGCTTAATCATTTCTTCCTTTCCTTGAAAGTACGATTCTTTCACTTGGACACTTTGAGGCCACTGTGGGGTTACTAATTGGCCTAATTTCAATATTGTCTTATGTCAGGGAATAGGAAGGCCCAAGGAGAAAGAGATGGGGAATGGCTGGTCAGTGGAGTAGTCAGAACACACATGTTTATGGGTTAAGTTTGCTGTCTTATATGGATGTGGTTCATGTCAATATAACAGATAAAATAATAATGAAAAAGCTTGAAATATTGCAAGAATTACCAAAATGTGACACAGACACACAAAGTGAGCACATTTAATGTATCCAGTAAAAACCAAAGTGTTTCTTACAGTCTCTGATGTTTCCTTCTGAGTAATTGGTCATTGGGAGCTGTGGTTACACATAGCTGAGTGAAGCGGACACTTCTGTGAAGGCATGGCTTGGCTCTTGCTGGGAAGTTTTCTGTTTCCTGGCCTGTTCCTGTCTCTCTTCTCCTCTCCATACTTGTTGGGAATGGACCTCATACCTCTCTGGAATGATGCAGTGCACCAAACAGTGAAGAACTGTTGTTGTTTTTAACTGATTTACATAACTGATAATAATATCATAGCTAACATTTATTGAGCTCACCATATGCCAGGTATGAAGCTTAGCACTTTACTACGTTCATTATTGCATTTAATTCTCTCAACAAACTTGCAGCGCATATGCGATTCCACAGGAGAGAGCTCTATTTCTTTTGGTTGAAAAGTTCTTTCTAATACTTGCTGAGCTACAGTAAACAAATATGTCTATTAATGCCATTGGGAATTTGGAAGCAAAGTCTTAACAAAATATAGACAATTCATTTTTGAATAATTGTGATTTGATTATGCTTTTGGGGAATATCAGATTAACAAAGTGGGTTTGTTTGTAAGGATTAGTTTGCAATTCAGGCTCATAGAATTTTTGTGTGTGTGTATACAGTTGTATCGATTTTATTTTATTGAGATGGAGTCTTGCTCTGTCACCCAGGCTGGAGTGCAGTGTTGCAATCTCGGCTCACTGCAACATCCACCTCCCAGATTCAAGCGATTCTCCTGCCTCAGCCTCCTGAGTAGCTAGGATTACAGGTGTGCACCACTACACTTGGCTAAATTTTGTATTTTTAATAGAGACGGGGTTTCACTATGTTGGCCAGGCTGATCTCGAACTCCTGACCTCAAGTGATCCACTCACTAAAGTGTTGGGGTTACAAGTGTGAGTCACTGCGCCTGGCCAGTTCCATGAATTTTAACTTGTAAATAGATTCATATAGCCACAGCCACTATCAGGAGGTAGACCAGTTTCACCACTTCAGAAATCTCCCTTGGTCAGTGCTACTCTTTGTAGTCAGAGCCACTCCCACCTCAGCCTCTGATAACCAATGATCTATTCTCTATTACTATAGTTTTGTTTTATTTTTTTCTTTTCAGGAATGTCATATAAGTGGAATAAAACAGTATGTAACCTTTTGAGATTGGGTCCTTCAGCATGATGCCTTGGAGATTCATATAAGTTGTTACATGTGTCAATAGTTTGTTCCTTTTTATTGCTGAGTATTATTCCACTGTATAGATACATTGTGGTTGCATTAATCAGTTCACCTACTGAAGAACATGAGTTATTTTCAGATTTTGGTGATTATAACTAGAGCTTCTATAAGCATTCATGTACACTTACGTTTTCGTGAAGTTTTCATTTTTCTAGAGTAAATACTTAAGAGAGTGGGGATACTAGGTCATATGGTAAGTGTATGGTTAAGTTTTCCAGAGCAGCTGTACCATTTTGCTTTCCCACTAGCAATGTGTAAAAGTTCCTGTTGCCCCTATTCTTTCCAGCCCTTGGTATTTGACAGTTCTTTTTTTCTGTTTTTTTTTTTTTTTTTTTTAGACGGAGTTTTGCTCTTGTCCAGGCTGGAGTTCAATGGCATGATCTCAGCTCACTGCAACCTCCACCTTCCGGGTTCAAGTGATTTTCCTGCCTTAGCCTCCCGAGTAGCTGGGATTACAGGCACCTACAACCACACCCGGCTAATTTTTTGTATTTTTAGTAGAGACGAGGTTTCGCCATGTTGACCAGGCTGGTCTCAAACTCCTGGCCTCAGGTGATCCACCCACCTCGGCCTCCCAAAATGCTGAGATTTCAGGCGTGAGCCACCACGCCTGGCCTTGACAGTATTTTTAAAATTTTAGCAACTCTAATAGGTGTGTAGTGATATCTCATTATGGTTTTAATTTGCATTTCACTATTGACTAAGAATATTGAACATCTTTTCATGTGCTTGTTTGCCTTCCATATATTCTCTTTGGCATAGTGTCTTTTCAAGACTTTTGCCCATTTTTAATTGGGTGTTTCTTTTCCTAGGTAAGTTTTTTTGTTTTGTTTTGTTTGTTTGCTTTGAGACGGAGTCTCGCTCTGTCACCCATGCTGGAATGTAGTGGCATGATCTCGGCTCACTGCAGCCTCCACCTCCTGGGTTCAAGCGATTCTCCTGCCTCAGCCTCCTGAGTAGCTGGGACTACAGGCACATGCCACCATGCCTGGCTAATTTTTGTATTTTTAGTAGAGACAGGGTTTCACCATGTTGGTCAGCTGGTCTCAAACTCCTGACCTCAGGTGATCCACCTGTCTCGGCCTCCCAAAGTGCTTGGATTACAGGCGTTAGCCATCACACCTGACCTATTTTTAAATTTTATATTAATATATTAACTGGATTTTTGTCAAATAGAGAATTATCTTTAAATAACCATCTCCTCACTTCACACTTAGTCTGGGAAAAAATGAGAGCAAATTTCTGTGCATCCAGGGAGCATATCACCAACCAGGCATGAAGCTTAAAGGGAGAGTGCAGGCTGAGTGGCCAGCAGGCCATGGGCATCCCACAGGGCCAGGCCAGGACCCAGGCTTCAGCGACCCTTCTCCCAGCCCACCTAGTGGCCCTCAAATCCATGATGGGACAGACATGCATTCTCCTGTCCCAGTTGAGAAGCCCCTTCTAGATGGAAGGGAGAGGAGAAAAGCCATAGGAAAGAAATCCCAGAAACACTAGCAGGTAAGTACAGGGGCTTCCTCCCCAGCTGCGGTGACCTTGCTCCTGATAACACCCAACCCCTGGAGCTCTTCGCCAGTGTGCCTGGGGCTGGAGCCTGGCGGGGAAGGGAATGTGGGCTCACAGTTTCTGGATGTTGGCCTCCCACAGCTTGGCACAGACCAGGGGAAGGCATGTGAGGAGGGCCTGGGGAGGTCCTCGGGGAAGATAACACAGCTCAGGAGGTTGAGTGTAAAGTGGCTGCCAGACCAAGGGAGCTGGATGGACTGTGAAGGAGGAGGTGGCTGGAGAGCCTCCTCCATGTAAAGCTACTAGAGCAAAAATAGAACAAGGGGGGACACCCGTGCCCCAGAGGACAGCCCTAAAGATGGTAACGGGGAGCACGGCTGAGCAGCGCCCTGGATTCTGAGCTAGTGTGGAAAGCTGGGGGCCAGGGGCCTCTCTCTTCCTTCATCACCAGTTGCTGGTAACTTTACAGTCAGATTTGGAGGAGGAACAAGGCCCTCCATCGCCTCCCCTAGCCTCTGATGCTGCCCCAAGGGGAGGGGTAAGAATGGGCAAAGAGGGTGGGAAACAGGGAGGTGGGAGGGAGTCTACTGGGTCTTCTTATTTTCAGAGGAGGGGGCTGTAATAGTGTAGTGGCAGAGGCTGGTTCCTAGGTATGTAGGTGTTGTGTGGGTTGCCTGGCACTGACAACTGCTTCTGTGGCTCTGGCTTTGGCTGCCAGAGCAGAGGGGCCAATGGGGCCACTGACCAGAGGTTCCATGAGCCCAGATAGGGCAGTGGCAGGGATTGCAGGCATCCCATAGCTCCATCCATCATGGGAGGTCCTGGATAGAACTCAGATGGGGACTGTGGATTGGGGTAGCCAGGAGGGCAAAGGTACATTCCATTGGCAACTGGCAGAGGAAAGACATAGGCTCTGTTGGGTATGTAAGAGTACCCGTAGCCTCCATTGGGGGCCTCGCCCCTGGAGGCTTGAAATGCCACCTGGAGCATTCATTGTCCAAACTGCTGTAAGGTTAACTTGTATGAACCCCAGCCCTCCCAGCCATCTCCCGCTTCACCCTTCACTGTTCTTTTGAAGTAGTTGGCAGCAAACAGGCTAGTTGATCTCACAGTCCTTCATCAGGTGAAAAGGCATCACGAAGGCTTCATGGAGTTCTTCTTCTTGGACAGAAAGATGATCGGTAAGGGGTAAGGTAGACGATGCCTTTCTTGGTCCCTTTGAAGGACTCTGGCACATTCTTCTTGTCATTGAATGTAAGTTCCACATGGACGTAGGACATTAGGATGTTCTTGGTGTTCTTGATCACTCTGCCACCCTTTGAGTGATTCTTGTTGAGCACGATAGTCTCTTGGAAAGGGGTCCTAAGACTCTCGATGCAGGGCCTTGAGTTCGTTTTTGCATAAAGGAGTTGGTTTAGATTGAGGTTCCTTTTTTTGGCATATAAATGTCCAATTGTCCATTTGTTGAAAAGACTACTCTTTCTCCATTGACTTGCCTTTGCACTTTTGTCAAAATTTATTGGCCATGTTTGTGTAGGTCTATTTCTGGAATCTGTATTCTGCTCTATTGATCTGTGTGTCTATCCTTTCACCAATACACACTGTCATGAAGTCAGAGAGGTAACAGGAAGCCAGATCATGTAGGGCCTTGTAGACCATTGAAAGGATTTAGGCTTTTATCTTGAGTGAAATGAGGAGCTACAGGAAGGTGCTGGGCAAAGGAGGAACCTGACTTTATTGAGGCAAGGATAGGAATGTGAGGTTACTGCAGTCATCCAGATATGCAAAAATGGTGGATTGGACCAGGATGATGGGTAGAAGTGGTGAAAAGTAGTCATATTCTGAATAATTTTTGAGAGTAGCCCCAATGGGATTTTCTAATGGGTTGAATGTAGAGAATGAGAGATAGGCATGAGAAAAGAACTCTAGTCTGAGGGTTTAGCTTGACCAACGTGAAAAATGGAGTTATCAATTGAGATGGGAAAACCTTCAAATGAAGCACATTTTAGGAAGGAAGGTCAGAAGTTCAGTTTCGAACATGTTAAGTTTTAAATTTCTATTAGAGGTCCACCTGTGGATGTTGAGTGAATAGTGGGTGATAAGGGCTAAGAGCTTGGGAGAGAGGTCTGGGAATGGAGGTATACATTTTGGATCCTGGCGGGGCACCTGGGATCACGCCTGTAATCCCAGCACTTTGGGAGGCTGAGGCGAGCGGATTACTTGAGGCCAGGAGTTTGAGACGAGCCTGGCTAACATGACAAAACCCCATCTGTACTAAAAATACAAAAAATTAGCCGGGCGTGGTGGTGCATGCCTATAATCCCAGCCACTCAGGAGGCTGAAGCAAGAGAATTGCTTGAACCCGGGAGGTGGAGGTTGCAGTGAGCCGAGATTGTGCCACTGCACTCCAGTCTTGGCGACAGAGCAAGACTCTGTCTCAAAACAAAAACAAAAACAAAAAATTTTTGGATCCATCAGTAGATAGATGCTATGTAAGGCCATGGCATTGGTGAAATCACCAAGGGCAGATATGTAGAGAGAAAAGGGCAAGCACTGAGCCCTGGGTCACTGCAGCATTGAGAGGTGGGGGACAAAAAAAGAAACTGGTAAAGGAGACTAAAAAATAGTAGTGAGGTAGAAAGAAGGTAGACAATGCTTTCTGAGAGCCAAATAAGAAAATGATATCCAGGAAGTAAATGATCAACAGTGCGGATGCTGCTAATAAGTCAAACAAGACGAGGACATATATTGACCATTGGGTTTACGAACAAGGGGTCATTGGTCACCTCAGTGAGAGAAGTTTCCATAGAGTGTTGGGAGAAAAAGGCTGAGGATAGTAAGTTTAAGAGAGAATAAAAGGAGAGGAATTGCAGGCAGAGAATAGAAGCGTTTTTCATGGAGTCTGTTTGCAAATAGGACCAAAGAAATGAGGAGGTAGCTAGGGGACGAGATGGGCTCACGTGCAAGTTGTTGGGTTTTATTCCTTTTTAAGATGGAAGAAATAACATTTGTGAATGCTAATGGCCATGACCCCATAAAGTGGGAAATTTTAATGATGTAAGAAGGAAAGAGAAGAAAGCCTAGAGCAATTGATTTCCTTGAGTAAAGGAGAAAAGGATGGAATCTAGTACAAAAATGGAGGGATTGCCCTTAGAAGGAGCTAGAAAATTTAATATATGGTAACACTTGGAAAAGCAGAATATGTGGATGTGGATGCCAGCATATGGGTAGATAGATGTGAGTGAAGCAAGTCCTCTTCAGTCTGCTTCCATCTCCTCACTGCGGTGGAAGCAAGGTCAGCAGCTGAGAGGGAAGGTAGGGGAGGGGCTGAGATTTGAAGGGACAAAAGTGGGCGATAATCACCTGGGAGAGTGAACCGTAGGAGTCATGGGAGTGAGTGCCTGCCATAGGAGAGAAGATCCCTCAAAAAGAGGAATTCAGGGCTGGATGCAGTGGCTCCTGCCTGTAATCCTAGCACCTTAGGAGGCTGAGATGGAAGGATTGCTTGAGCCCAGGAGGTCAGGACTGCAGTGAGCCAAGGTCACACCACTGCACTCCAGTCTAGGCAACAGAATGAGACCCTGTCTCAAATAAATAAATAAATAAATAAATAAATAAATAAATAAATAAATAAGCAAGCAAATAAATAAATAGGAATTCAAGAATTGAGATCATCTGTGTGGGTATTGAGAATGCCAGGAATTAAGACCAGAAATTCTAGAGATGATGGCAATGGCAATGAGAAATGAAGGGGAATGAGTTGGTGTTTGCTACATAACAGTAACAGTGCTGGATAGCGGATGATAGAATCTGATGACATGAGGTTTAAAGCACAGAATTTTTAGAGAGGAGAGAAGGAGAATGCTCTGAAAGCAGCCACGTGGAGCAAAAGCGGCGTCTGTCTCACCTCACTTTCCAGCCATGTGGAGCAAAAGGGGCATCTGTCTCAGGCCCAGTGGCATGGGAGTGAAATAGCACTTCAGAGAGTTGCAGGGGAAACAGTGTCCCCAAGGGAGAGTCAGGTTTCTGTTAAAGGAAGGTGCATTATGCACATCTGTGAAATTATCATGACTGCTGTCATCCCATCTGCTCATAGAACCAGTGAATATTGATTGGTCATAAAATGCAAGCATTATTTTAAGGAGCATGGACATTTAATTTCTCTTTTAAGGACTGGAAATAATTTTTTCCATGATTTGGAAAGTGATATTATATTTGTCAATGAGAAATAATGTAATAGCTTTTTAATAGTTCACAAAATGATGTCAGTTGCTCTTTATTCAAAAATATCTTTAGCCTTTTTGAGGTTATTTTGGGGAGATGATAAGGACAGGCATCTCCATAATCCCAAATATTTGGGAGAAAACTTCAAAAATTAAAGCGTATTTAGGCTGAGCATGGTGACTCATGCCTGTAATCCCAGCACTTTGGGAGGTCAAGGTGAGTGGATCACTTAAACCCAAGAGTTTGAGACCATCCTGGGCAACATGGCGAAACTCTGTCTCTACAAAAAATACAAAAATTAGCAGGGCATGGTGGCGTGTGCCTGTAGTCCCAGATACTCGGGAGGTTGAGGCTGCAGTGAGCTGTGATCATACCACTGCACTCCAGCCTGGGTGACAGAACAAGACCCTGCCCCCTACCCCCTCCTCCAAAAAAAGCATATTTAAATATTCCCAGAATCCAAATGTTGAACATCATTTGGACACAGCTTCAAAATGGTACCAATTCTTTTAATTTGTGACTGCTTTATTTATTTATTTATTTATTTATTTATTTATTTATTTATTATTATACTTTAAGTTTTAGGGTACATGTGCACATTGTGCAGATTAGTTACATATGTATACATGTGCCATGCTGGTGCGCTGCACCCACTAACTCATCATCTAGCATTAGGTATATCCCCCAATGCTATCCTTCCCCCCTCCCCCCACCCCACAACAGTCCCCAGAGTGGGGTTCCCCTTCCTGTGTCCATGTGATCTCATTGTTCAATTCCCACCTATGAGTGAGAATATGCAGTGTTTGTTTTTTTGTTCTTGTGATAGTTTACTGAGAATGATGGTTTCCAATTTCATCCATGTCCCTACAAAGGACATGAACTCATCATTTTTTATGGCTGCATAGTATTCCATGGTGTATGTGTGCCACATTTTCTTAATCCAGTCTATCATTGTTGGACATTTGGGTTGGTTCCAAGTCTTTGCTATTGTGAATAATGCCGCAATAAACATACGTGTGCATGTGTCTTTATAGCAGCCTGATTTATAGTCCTTTGGGTATATACCCAGTAATGGGATGGCTGGGTCAAATGGTATTTCTAGTTCTAGATCCCTGAGGAATCGCCACACTGACTTCCACAAGGGTTGAACTAGTTTACAGTCCCACCAACAGTGTAAAAGTGTTCCTATTTCTCCACATCCTCTCCAGCACCTGTTGTTTCCTGACTTTTTAATGATTGCCATTCTAACTGGTGTGAGATGGTATCTCACTGTGGTTTTGATTTGCATTTCTCTGATGGCCAGTGATGGTGAGCATTTTTTCATGTGTTTTTTGGCTGCATAAATGTCTTCTTCTGAGAAGTGTCTGTTCATGTCCTTCACCTACTTTTTGATGGGGTTGTTTGTTTTTTTCTTGTAAATTTGTTTGAGTTCATTGCAGATTCTGGATATCAGCCCTTTGTCAGATGAGTAGGTTGCGAAAATTTTCTCCCATTTTGTAGGTTGCCTGTTCACTCTGATGGTAGTTTCTTTTGCTGTGCAGAAGCTCTTTAGTTTAATTAGATCCCATTTGTCAATTTTGTCTTTTGTTGCCATTGCTTTTGGTGTTTTATACATGAAGTCCTTGCCCATGCCTATGTCCTGAATGGTAATGGCTAGGTTTTCTTCTAGGGTTTTTATGGTTTTAGGTCAAACGTTTAAGTCTTTAATCCATCTTGAATTGATTTTTGTATAAGGTGTAAGGAAGGGATCCAGTTTCAGCTTTCTACATATGGCTAGCCAGTTTTCCCAGCACCATTTATTAAATAGGGAATCCTTTCCCCATGACTGCTTTATTTCTGCATTAGACAATAAGAAGGGGCCGAAACTTCTGGCCTGATATGACAGTGACATCAACCTCTTGTGTAGTAGCCTGTCATTAAGCCAGCGCCAAATGGAAAATTAAATGGAAAATGGCAGAGAGCATTGCCCAGGACATAATGTAGAAATGGCAACTCTGGCACTGACATAGGTTTAAAAAAATTATGTTTTAAAAGTAATCTTGCTGGGAGGCCAAGGCGGGCATATCACTTGAGGTCAAGAATTCGAGACCAGCCTGGCCAATATGGTGAAACCCCATCGCTACTAAAAATACAAAAGTTATGTTGGCATGGTGGCGGGCACATGTAACCCCGGCTACTCTGGAGGCTGAGACAAGAGAATCGCTTGAACCCAGGAGGAGGAGGTTGCAGTAAGCTGAGATTGTGCCATTGCACTCCAGCCTGGATGACAGAGCAAGAGTCTGTCTTTAAAAAAAAAAAAAAAAAAGTAGGCTTACACATATTCCCTTTACTGTTTTTCAAGGTCATTACATTTTTATCTGTTATTGTTCACCATTTAAAAATAAGCAGTGGAAAGCAGCCTACTTTTTAAAATGCGGAACTCGTATGGTGTACTTAGCATATATATAAGGATTTCTGTCCTCTCTCTTGCCTCCCTCCCTCCCGTTCTTCCCCCTTCCTCCTCCTTCCTTCCTTCCTTCCCTCCCTCCCTCCCCTTTCCTATCTTCTGAGTAGGGTCAAACACCAGTTCTCTACTTCTCGGACCATAAGAATAAAGATCTGTGCACAATCCATTTTGTACATATTGATTCTTGGACTAAAAATAGCTCAATTTGGTTTCAAACTTTTTCTCCCACCCTAAGTTCAGGTTTTGTTCCTTGTGCAGCCTGGTAGGCGGGCAAGTAATGCATAGTCAGCATTCCATCTGGGATGCTTACTGGACAATTTTAATCTTTTTTTTACGTCTTGACCTCTATTTCCAAAGAGCATCCCAGTTGGCAGGTCTAGCCTGATTAAGATTCTGTTCAGGCATTTAATTCTCCTAAGGGAATTTACAGATTAATCTAAAAATCAAGGATACCAGAATCTACTCAGGACTTAACTTCTTGAAGGTTATAGGAAACATATACTTGAGCAACCTAATGAATGAGCTTAGTGATATCGTAATGAATTTTTATATATACCTCAAATTACACTTTTTAATGCATATCCAACAAAAATATTTTTAAAAACAAATACTGTAGACCTAACTGGATTAGCTGTATTAGTAGATCCAAATTTAACTTTCAATTTGAATTAAGTTAGAACACTATGGATCTCATAAGGCAGGCTATATATTGATTACCTAGTTAGCCAGCTTCCATATCACCACTTGTTCAGGAACATTAAAAGTACTTTTTTAGAAATAGTTTTCTGATATATTTTTGGTTTCACTAAGACAGCTTTTTAAAAAGCAAAATTAGGCAGGGCGTGGTGGCTCACGCCTGTAATCCCAGCACTTTGGGAGGCCGAGGCGGGCAGATCACCGGAGGTCGGGGGTTCAAGACCAGCCTGATCAACATGGAGAAACCCCATCTCTACTAAAAATACAAAATTAGCCAGGTGTGGTGGCTCATGCCTGTAATCCCAGCTACTTGGGAAGCTGAGGCAGGAAATCACTTGAACCTGGGAGGCGGAGGTTGTGGGGAGCCAAGATCGCACCACTGCGCTTTAGCCTGGGCAACAAGAGCAAAACTCCGTCTCAAAAAAAAAAAAAGAAAGAAAGAAAGAAAGAAAGAAAAGCAGAATTATAACTAAACACCACTTTTTTTTTCTTTCTTTTTTTTTTTTTTTTTCTGGAGTTAGAGTCTCTCACTCTGTTGCCCAGGCTGGAGTGCAGTGGCACAATTTTGGCTTGCTGCAACCTCCACCTCCTGAGTGGAGGTTACTCAGGCAATCCTCCTGCCTCAGCTTCCTGAGTAGCTGGGACTACAGCCATGTGCCATCACACCTGAATAATTTTTATATTTTTTGTAGAGACAGGATCACCCCATGTTGCCCAGGCTGGTCTCAAACTCTTGGGCTCAAGCAGTCTGCCTGCCTCAGCCTCCCAAAGTGCTGGGATTACAGGTGTGAGCCACTGTTGCCAGCCTAAACATCTCGTCTGAGGCTATCACAATATATACTATTCTCCAGCCTACAGTAGATTATAGACATCTAGAATATAAAAATTTGTTTCCTGATAGGCTTGGCACACAATATTCCTACAGTCCTTTGAAAACACACATATTAACAGAGTGACAATATTTACAGGCAGAATTACTCATGTGTCTTATTGTAGCTTACAGGAGAGTGTGTCTGTCTAAGAATGGGGTAGAGGTTGGTTTGTAAAAACAGGTGTCCCACAAGCTTTCTTGGATAGTTAACTCAGTAGTTAGAATGAAGGATGTAAAATAACCTGTCAGGATAACACCTGCTCTCTTGCCCTCAACAATTAATGATAATGAAACTAGGCCTGAAGAGGAATAAAAATCTTGTATCATCTTTGAATTAGTCTTTTGTTGGTCGTGCGTTCCAATGAAATGATGTTTCACAACCTTTTCTTCATTATCATCTCTGAAAAGATCCTTTATGGCTATTTTTTTTTCCTAGTTGCCACAAAATTAAACACAGGCATACTGTGTCTTACTGTGCTTTGCTTTCTTGCTCTTGGAAGATATTGTGGGTTTTTTTTTTTACAAATTGAAGGTTTGTGGCACCCCTACATTGAGCAAGTCTACTGGGACCATTTTCTTTTCAACAGCATATGCTCCTTTTATGACTGTGTCACATTTTGGTAATTCTTACAGTATTTCAAACTTTTTCTTTTCTTTTTTTTTTTTTTTTTAGACAGAGTCTCGATCAGCCACCCAGGCTGGAGTGCAGTGGTGCGATCTTGGCTCACTGCAACCTCCGCCTCCCAGGTTCAAGTGATTCTCCTGCCTCAGCCTCCCAAGTAGCTGGGACTATAGGTGCATGCCACCACACCCAGCTAATTTTTTTGTATTTTTAGTAGAGACAGGGTTTCACCATGTTGGCCAGACTGGTCTCGATCTCTTGACCTCGTGATCTGCCCTCGGCCTCCCAAAGTGCTGGGATTACAGGCGTGAGCCACTGCGCCTGGCCCAAACTTTTTCATTATTGTTATATCTGTTATGGTGATCTGTGATCACTGTCTTTGGTGTTACTATTGTAATTGTTTGGGGATGGCCTGAACTGCATCCATATAACACTTAATTGAGGCCAGGTGTGGTAGTTCACGCCTGTAATCCCAGCACTTTGGGAGGCTGAGGTGGGCAGATCGTGAGGTCAGGAATTCGAGATCAGCCTGGCCAACATAGTGAAACCCCATCTCTACTAAAAATACAAAAAAATTAGCTGGGTGTGGTGACGCACACCTGTAGTCCCAGCTACTTGGGAGGCTGAGGCAGGAGAATCGCTTGAACTGGGGAGGCGGAGGTTGCAGTGAGCCAAGATCATGCCACTGCACTCTAGCCTCAGTGATAGAGCAAGACTCCATCTCAAATAATAATAATAATAAAGACTTAATTGATACTTAATCCATAAATGTTGTATGTGTTCTGAGTGCTCCACCCACCAGCTATTTCCCATCTTTCTCCTCCTCCTCAGACCTCCCTATTCCATGAGACACAACAATATTGAAATTAGGCCAACTAATAGCCCTACAATGGCTTCTACATGTTCAAGAGAAAGGAGGAGTTGCACATCTCTCACTTTAAATCAAAACATAGAAATGATTATGCTTAGTGAGGAAGGCATGTTGAAAGCCTAGATAGGTCAAAAGCTAGGCCTATTGTGCCAAACAGCCAAACTGTGAATGCAAAGGAAAAGTTCTTGAAGGAAATGAGGAGTGCTATTCTGTTGAACACACAAATGATAAGAAAGTGAAACAGCCTCATTGCCGATATGCAGAAAATTTGAGTGGTTCTAGATAGAAGATCAAACCAGCCATAACATTCCTTTAAGCCAAAGTCTAATTCTTTTTTTTTTTTTTTTTTTTTTTTCAGAGTCTTGCTCTGTTGCCCAGGCTGGAGTGCATTGGCACAATCTCGGCTCACTGCAAGCTCTGCCTCCTGGGTTCACGCCATTCTCCTGCCTCAGCCTCCCATGTAGCTGGGACTACTGGTGCCCGCCACCATACCCGGCTAATTTTTTTGTATTTTTAATAGAGACAGGGTTTCACCATGTTAGCCAGGATGGTCTCGATCTGATCTCCTGACCTTGTGATCTGCCCGCCTCGGCCTCCCAAAGTGCTGGGATTACAGGTGTGAGCCACTGTGCTTGGCCACCAAACCCTAATTCAGAGCAAGGCCCTAACTCCCTTCAATTCACTGAAGGCTGAGAAAGGTGAGGAACTTGCAGAAGGAAAGCTTGAAGCCAATGGGTTGGTTCATGAGGTTTAAGGAAAGACACCATCTTCATAACATAAAAGGGCAAGTAAACAGCAAGTGCTGATAGAGAAGCTGCAGTAAGTTATCCAGAAGATCTAGCTGAGATCATTGGTAAAGCTGGCTTCACCAAATAACAAATCTTCAAATGTAGATGAAACGACTTTGTATTGGAAGAAGATGCCTTCAGGCTAGGACTTTCATAGCTGGAGAGGAGAAGTCAATGCTTCAAAGTTTCAAGGGACAGGCTTTTGTCCCTTGGGCTCTTGTTAGGGGCTAATACAGCTTGTGACTTTGAGTTGAAGGCAATGCTCATTGAACATTCTAAAAATCCTAGGGCCCTTAAGAATGATACTAAATGTACTCTACTTGTACTCTATTAATGAAACAACAAAGTCTGAATGACAGCACGTCTGTTTATAGAGTGGTTTATCAAACGTTTAAAGCCTGCTGTTGAGACCTACCACTCAGAAAAAAAGGTTCCTTTCAAAATATTACTGCTCATTGACAGTGTACCTGGTCACCCAAGAGCTCTGAAAGTATAAGGAGATGACTGTTGTTTTCATACCTGCTAACACAACATCCACTGGGCAGCCAATGGATCCAGGAGTCATTTTGACTTTCAAGTCTTATTATATAAGAAATACATTTTATAAAGATATAGCTGCTGTAGATAGTGATTCCTCTGATGGATCTGGGCAAAGTCTATTGAAAACCTTCTGGAAAGGATTCACAATTCTAGATACTGTTGGGAGGAGGTCAAATTATCAACATGAACAGGAGTTTCGAAGAAGTTGATTCCAAACCTCATGGTGACTTTGAGGGCTTTAAGACTTCAGTAGAGCAGGCTGGGCATGGTGGCCTATAATTCCAGCCCTTTGGAAGGCTGAAGCGGGTGGATCACAAGCATAGAGTTCAAGACCAGCCTGGGCAACACAGTGAGACCCCCATCTCCTAAAAAGGATTTTTTTTTAAGACTTCAGTAGAGGAAGTACTCGTAAATATGGTGGAAATAGCAAGAGAACTAGCATTAAGAATGAAGCTTAAAGATGTGACTGAATTGCTGTAATCTCATGATAAAACTTGAATGGATGAGGAGTTGCTTCTTATGGATGAGCAAAGGAAATGATTTCTTGGGAGGGAATCTATTCCTGGAGAAGACACTGTGAAAGTTGTCGAAATGACACCATAGGATTTAGAATATCCCATAAACTTAGCTGATAAAGCAGGGGCAGGCTTTGAGAGGATCGACTGCAATTTTGAAAGAAGTTGTACCATGAGTAAAATGCGATCAAACAGCATTGCATGCTTCAGAGAAATCTTTCTTCACAAAAGGAACAATTGGTGCAGCAAAATTAATTTTCTTATTTTAAGAAATTGTCAGCCGGGTGTGGTGGCTCACGCCTGTAATCCCAGCACTTTGGGAGGCCAAGGTGGGCAGATCACCTAAGGTCAGGAGTTTAAGACCAGCCTGGCTAACATGCTGAAACCCCATTTCTACTAAAAATACAAAAAATTAGCCGGGCATGGTGGCACGCCTGTAATCCCAGCTACTTGGGAGGCTGAGGCAGGAGAATCGATTGAACCCGGGAGGTGGAGGTTGCAGTGAGCCGAGATCGCGCCATTGCACTCCAGCTTGGGCAACAAGAGCAAAACTCTGTCTCAAAAAAAAAAAAAAAAAAAAGGCTGGGCGCAGTGGCTCACGCCTGTAATCCCAGCACTTTGGGAGGCCGAGGCAGGTGGATCATGAGGTCAGGAGATCAAGACCGTGCTGGCTAACATGGCGAAACCCCGTCTCTACTAAAAATACAAAAAAATTAGCTGGGCGTGGTGGCAGGTGCCTGTAGTCCCAGCTACTTGGGAGGCTGAGGCAGGAGAATGGCGTGAACCTGGCAGGCGGAGGTTGCAGTGAGTCAAGATTGCACCACTGCACTGTAGCCTGGGTGACAGAGTCAGACTCCGTCTCAAAAAAAAAAAAAAAAAAAGAAAAGAAAGGAAATTGTTGGCCGGGCGCTGTGGCTTACGCCTGTAATCCCAGCACTTTGGGAGGCCGAGGCAGGCGGATCATCTGAGGTCAGGAGTTTGAGACCAGCCTGATCAACATGGAGAAACCCTGTCTCTACTAAAAATACAAAATGAGCCGGGCGTGGTGGCGCATGTTTGTAATCCCAGCTACTCGAGAGGCTGAGGCAGGAGAATCACTTGAACCCAGGAGGCAGAGGTTGCAGTGAGCCGAGAGCGCACCATTGCACTCCAGTGCAGTGGAGTGCAGTGGTGCGATCTCGGCTCACGATCGTTAGCGTTTTTTAACACTCAAGTGTTTTTGGTTTTGTTTTTTGAGTTGGAGTTTTGCTCTTGTTGCCCAGCCTGGAGTGCAACAAGAGCTGGCATGATCTCAGCTCACTGCAACCTCTACCTCCTGGGTTCAAGTGATTCTCCTGCCTCAGCCTCCCAAGCAGCTGGGATTACAGGCATGCACCACCACACCCGGCTAATTTTGTATTTTTAGTAGAGATGGGGTTTCACCATGTTGGTCAGGCTGGTCTCAAACTCCCAACCTCAAGTGATCTGCCCGCCTCATCCTCCCAAAGTGCTGGGATTACAGGCATGAGCCACCATGCCTGGCCCACTCAAGCATTTTTTAATTAAGGTATGTATTTTTTAGATATGGTATTGAACACTTAAGAGACTACAGTATAGTGTAAACATAACTTTTGTATGCACTAGAAAATAAAAATTTCATGTGACTCACTTTTTTGAGATATTTGCTTTATTGCAGTGGTCTGAAACCAAACCTGTAATATCTCCAAGATATGCCTGTACTGAAGAGTAAGATTTTGTCAGTTAGAGTTTAATCTTGGAAAGACTACAAACCACTGTAATAACCTAAGCATTATTTGATTCCCCAAGGACCAATTTTCACCCCTTTGGGGGCCATATTAATTTTTTATGGCTGCTATACCAAAGTACTATGAATTTTATGGCTGAAAACAGCACGAACTTATTCCCTTGTAGTTCTAGAGGCCGGAAATGCAGTTCACTGGGGGTAATGTCAAGGTGTAGGGCCATACCCCCAGGAAGGCTCTGGGGAAGCGTACATTTCCTCTTCCAGCTTCCATCTTTTTCTGGCTTCCAGACTTGCATTCTGTGTGTTCACTGACTCATGTCTGCTTCCTCCATCTTTCAAAGCCAGCAGCCGTGTAGCATCTTGTTTCAATGTCACGTTGCCTTTTTCTTCTGTCAAGTCTCCCTCTGCCTGCCTCTCATGAGGACAGTGTGATTACACTTAGGGTCTACCTTGCTAATTCCGGATAATCTCTGCATCTCAAAATCCTTAATTTAATCGTATCTGCAAAGCTTGTGTTACCATATAAGGTAAGAGTCACAGGTTCCCAGGATTAGGAACTGGATATCTTTGGGGACCAATACTCAGCCACAGAGGTGATACCACTCCCCACCCCTTAAAAATGCATGTTCTACACCAGTAAGGAAGAAAGAAAATAAGAAAGAAGAGTAAAAGATAATAAATATGTAACTTTGGCTACAAATGAATTCTTTATTATATCTCATTCTATTTGGGGCACTTGCTATTAGAACAAAGAGAGAAGATATATTTAAAATTAATAGGATTCAGAAGAGTAGAGTTGATGATGTTCACCTCATTGCGATGTACTCACCCATTCATTTATTTTGCATTACCCTTCCTGCCTGGGGCCAGTCAGCAGAGGAGGGCAGTGAGTCACTCCAAGGTCAGACAGTATTATTACCCTCTTATTGTGATGGGCAAATCCACCATTAAGCTTCAGATTGAGAGAAACACCATTGAGTTGGCAAATGCTTTCGATGTGTACGTGCAGAAAGTCATATGTATCTACAATTTTCCAGACAGCGGCAAAGAGAAATGGAAACTCTGTGCTGTATTTTAATTGGCTGCAAAATGTTTCCTTCAGAAATTACCATTCCATTAAGCACCTACTCTGTGCAAACGCTTTGCAAACACTGCTGGGAATAGCTGCATGTATAAGGGCATGCCTACCTTTATTAGACTGTTCAGGGGAATAAAATGAAGTTACAATTTATTCTAATACTAGAATGCAGTTCTCTCCCCATGGACTGCACCTTTCAGGATAGTGGCCTGAATCAGAGCAGAAAACACCTGCTGGATATCCTCCAAGTACACAGTCTGATTAGTGCCCTCTGGGAAACATGGAGGCAGATACTACTTGGCTCTCCAGCCTAAGGGAAGTATTATTAATTAAAAACTTAAAGCCAGGTTCTTCTCTGTGTATGGTTATGCATGTCCTAGATGGCCTTGAAATTGATCTGTTCTCCATTAGCAATCTGTGAATTGTACTCCTGTCTGAAATTGAGTAGAGGTCAGAGCTATGAAGGTTGAATTCAACAAGAATTTTTATGAAGTATAACTAGAGTTAGTGCTCTGCTCTAACTGCTTTTGGAGACAGACTTTCCCCAGTGTATCCCATCAAATCACAGACTAAAAACAGTCTATTTCCCCTTATTCTTGGCCAGATAGGACCTAGGCACCTGAATTTTTTTTTAAACTAGATTTCCAGGAAATTTTATTGAAGGCTAACAGCATAGCATTTCATGTTGGATAAAGAAGATGCACAAGACGGGACATGGTAAGACACACCTGTAATCCTACCACTTTGGAAGGATGAGGCAGGTGGATCACTTGAGCTCAGGAGTTCAAGACCAGCCTGGGCAACATGGTAAGACCCTGTCTCTCCAAAACAAACAAACAAACAAACAAAAAAACAAAAATTAGCTGGGCATGATGGTGTGCACCTTTAGTCTCAGCTACTCGGGAGGCTGAAGTGGGATGATCACCTGAGCCCAGGGAGGTCAAGGCTGCAATGAGCCATGATTCCATCACTGCGCTCCAGCCTAGGATACAGAGTGAGACCCTGTCTCAAAAAAAAAAAAAAAAAAAAAAAAAAAAGGCCATATGCAGTGGCTCATGTCTGTAATCCCAGCACTTTGGGAGGCCAAGGCAGGTGGATCGCTTGAGGTCAGGAGTTCGAGACCAGCCTGGTCAACATTGTGAAACCAGTCTCTACTAAAATACAAAACAAATTAGCTGGGCATGGTGGCAGGCACCTGTAGTCCCAGCTACTAGGGAGGCCAAGGCAGGAGAATTGCCTGACCCCAGGAGGCGGACGTTGCAGTGAGCTGAGATCGTGCCACTGCACTTTAGCCTGGCCGACAGAGCGAGACTCTGTCTTAAAAGAAAAAAAAAAAATTCACAAAAGAAAAATTGTATTAAGTACAATTTAATATAATTTCTTACAAGTTTATTACCTAAAACTTTGCAAATAATTGAAGTTAGAAGCTTTGGATTTTGTTTTTAGAGCTTAATCCTTTTCTGTAAGTGGAAATCCTTTCCACTGGTTTATTTTCCTTTTGATTTTATTTTACTTTGACACCCTAAAGGTTTAGTGTTCCTGTTTTTAAATCTACTGATCGTTTCTTATGAGATTCCTTAGAGTGCCCTTTAAGTATGCACAGATTTTGCAAATGCATTCATTTTCTTATTTGCCAGGGTTTAACACTGGCTATGCACATGTTAGCTGAATAACCTTAGGCAAGTAAATTATCCTCTCTGGGCCTCGATCTTGTTAGCTATTAAGTGGGAATAATGACAATTCCTAACTCAAGGGTCTGTTGTGAGGATTAAATGAGTCCTTACATGTGACATACTTGAAATAGTACCTGGTGCAGAGTTAGGGCTGGGTGAGTGTTAGCTATTGTATTATTATTTCATTGCTGTTTGCATATATTTTTAAAATGTATTTAGGATTTTCTTTTTTTTTTTGAGACAGGGTCTCACTCTTTGCCCAGGCCGGAGTGCAGTGGTACGATCTTGGCTCACTGCAACCTCCACCTCCCAGGCTCAAGAGATCCTCCCATCTCAGCCTCCCAAGTAGCTAGGATTACAGGCACGCCCCACCATGCCTGGCTAATTTTTTTTTTTTTTTTTTTTTGTATTTTTGGTAGAGACAGGGTTTTGCCATGTTGCCCAGGCTTGTCCCAAACTCCTGAGCTCAAGCGGTCTGCCTGCTTTGGCCTCCCAAAGTGCTAGGATTACAGGCATGAGCAACTGCGTCTGGCCAGGGTTATTTCTTAGGGATAGCATTCCAGAAATATAATTAAAATTTATTGATCCAGAAATATAATTAAAAATAATTGATCAAATGGTAGAAGACTTTTTAAATTTATATTTCATCAATTTTACACATTTGTTAGGTTTTAATGTTTCTACTACTTGTGTGTGCCAAAAAATTATTGATTTTCTTAATCGTTTTCTATGAGTAGAAATCCTTTCCACTGGTTTGTTATTTTCCTTTTGATTTTATTTTACTTTTGACACCCTGAAGGTTTAGTGTTCCTGTTTTTAAATGTACTGATTGTTTCTTAGGAGATTCCTTAGAGTGCCCTTTAAGCAGAGAATATCTTTCCCTCTCCTTCCTCTTCCCTTCACTCTTCTCAAAACTATAAAAATATAATACTCATTTCTACCTGTTTTCGTGGCTTTTATACTTTCAATGTGTTCATCTACATGAGATTTAGTTTGATGTGTGGAACAGCAAGAGAGTTTAAATTAAAAATCTTCCCCTAAATGGCTAAATGTCCCAGTGCCATTTACAGTGTGGTACCCCTCCTGTAATAAGAATATTACATTCTTATCCGTATTAATTATTTCTTATTCAAACTTACCAGTGGCATTTAAGAAATCATTAGTTCAGTTGTTTATAGGTAAGAAGACTCATTCTTTATCTGCTATTTCAAAATTAAAATCATTGTCTTTCATAGATATTTTCTGAAATGAAATATGGAAAACAATTATTTTTACAATGAGACTTGGAAAAAAATCAATACTAAGTTTCTTTTGTATACAAGATAGCCAATAATACCTAGGCCTAAAACGTTCCAATCTAGTTTTTTGTCTGCTAATAGGTGCTCAGTATGACGGAGCTTTTCTTGAGGACCATTTGACCCTGTGTCTCTCTTTGCCTTTCCCCTTATGAAAATAAGCTGACCCCTACATCCAATCAAATCATCATAGCAAGGTTTTCATCATTTTTTATGGAATGTCAGCCTTGCCACCTGCTTGCCTGGTACCCAATACATATAATCTCTCTTCAGGCTGCAACACACAGCACTTGAGGCAGGCTGTCATTAATTGGAGTTACCTCCAATTGCCTACTTCTTATTCTATTCCTATCAAAAACCCAGCTGACAGGTACACAAGGGGCATAGCCCAAATTACATGTAATCCATAAATCTCTCCATTTTTTCTTAAGTCTTAGTTTTCTCTTGATATAGGATTTTTTTTTTTTTTTTTTGAGATGGAGTCTCACTCTGTCGCCAGGCTGGAGTGCAGTGGCACGATCTCGGCTCACTGCAACCTCCACCTCCTGGGTTCAAGCGATTCTCCTGCCTCAGCCTCCTGAGTAGCTGGGACTACAGGCACGTGCCACCATGCCCAGCTAATTTTTGTATTTTTAGTAGAAATGGGGTTTCACCATGTTGGCCAGTATGATCTCAATTTCTTAATCTCGTGATCTGCCTGCCTTGGCCTCCCAAAGTGCTGGGATTACAGGTGTGAGCCACCATGCCCGGCCGACATAGGCTATTTTTTAAAATGCAAGCTCTTCTGAACCATATAATATGATGTTTTAAAATATAGACTCTGAAGACAAAGACCTGGGCTCAGAATCAGGCCCCACCACTTATTTTCAATGGAATCTTGTCTGAATCTTGTAATCTTTCCAAGCCTCAGTTTTTTCATCTGTATAATAGGGATAAAAATAATAGTAAACAAATAAATGTATTTCTTTTGAATATCTAGTAGTATTTTAAAAATCAGATAACTAGAATTATATAACTCTATGTGCTTTATTTTTTACTTGTTTGCTGGGAATCAAAGAGCTTAGTTTTGTTTTTTGTTTTTTTTTTTTTTGAGACGGAGTCTCGCTCTGTCCCCCAGGCTGGAGTGCAGTGGCGCGATCTCAGCTCACTGCAAGCTCCCCCTCCCAGGTTCACGCCATTCTCAAAGAGCTTAGTTTAAGCTCAATTCAAGTGACTATTTGAGGCCTGGTCAGGATATCTGCTGTTATTTGGAACACAAGCTGTTTGCCCAGGACTAAGATCAAGTGATTTTCCTAAAGCAAACAGTGTATTGAATGTAATCCAAATCATCAGCAGGAACAAAGGAGGCCATATAGCTTAGCAATTAAGGCATGGGATCTGAAGTCAGAGAGACTTGGATTTGAATCATGGCCCTGACAAGTTACGTGCCTCTCTCTGCCTGAGTTTCTTCATCTGTTAGATGAGCATAATATTGCAATATAGTGTTACTTTGAGAATTAAATGAGGTAATGCAAAGCTCTTAGAGTAGTTACTAGGATAAGTGTCCAATTAACCATAGTTTAAGAAAAAGGATAAGCTGGGCACGGTGGCTCATGCCTGTAATCCCACACTTTGGGAGGCTGAGGTGGGCGGATTGTCTGAGGTCAGGAGTTCGAGACCAGTCTGGCCAACATAGTGAAACCCCTTCTCTACTAAAAATACAAAAATTAGCCAGGTGTGGTGGCGCACACCTGTAGTCCCAGCTACTTGGGAGGCTGAGATGGGAGAATCGCTTGAACCCAGGAGGCAGAGGTTGCAGTGAGCCGAGATCGTGTCACTGCACTACAGCCTGGGTGATAGAATGATACTCTGTCTCAAAAAAAAAAAAAAAAAAAAAAAAAGGAAAAAGGATGAAATCACAACTTGGAGCAAAAAAACCCAAAGGCATATTTAAAGATTTGCGTATTGGGTTAAAACAAGTTTTAACATCTGGAAAGAAAAAGCATCCATCAACTTTTCTTATCAAGAAATATGAATTATAGCCAGGTCCAGTGGTGTGTGCCTGAAGTCCCAGCTGCTTGGGAGGCTGAGGCGGGAGGATCACTTGTGACTGGGAGTTTGAGAACAGCCTGGGGAACATAGTGAGAACCCATCAGGAAAAAAAAAAAAAAAAAGGTTGATTAAAAAAAGAAAAACAAAAGAGGCCAGGCACGGTGGCTCACACTTGTAATCCCAGCATTTTGGGTGGCCAAGGTGGGAGGATCGCTTGAGGCCAGTGATTAAAGACCAGCCTGGACAACATAGTAGGACTCCATCTCTATAAAAATTTTAAAAATTAGCCAGACATGGTGCCGTGTGCCTATAGTCTCAACTACTTTGGAGGCTAAGGCAGGAGGAATGCTTGAGCCTGGGGGGTTGAGGCTGCAGTGAGCTGTGATGGTGTCAATGAACTCTATCCTGCAGTACAGAGTGAGACCTTGTCTCAAAAAAAATCATCTTTACAGTTATTTGATTATTTGCAGATTTTCAGTGTTTATTGTTTTTACTTTCCTTGCCCCACTATTCTGCATTCATCAAATATTCATTGAACACTGTCTTTTTGCCAGAGACTGCTGTAGGCACAAGAGATACAGCAAAAAACAAGACAAAACCCTTGCTCTCATGAAACTTACAGTCAAGTGTGTGAGATGGACATAAACATAGTACTGTGCTGTCATGTTGTAAAATGGGACCTCTCATTGAGAAGCTGGGTTGGTTTGGGGGTGGGGAGTATGACATCAAGAGTTCTGTTTTGATCATGTTTAGTTCAAGATGCCTGTTATGGTCAGGCACCGTGGCTCACACCTGTAATCTAGAACTTTGGGAGACTGAGGTGGGTGGATCCCTTGAGTTCAGGAGTTTGAGACCAGCCTGGGCAACACAGCAAAACCTTGTTTCTACAAAAAATACAAAAATTAGCCCGGTATGGTGGTGTGTGCCTGTAGTCCCAGCTACTAGGGAGGCTGAGGTGGGAGGATCACTTGAGTCATGGTAACAGACTCGCTCTGGGTTTCGCTCTGGATGACAGAGCGAGACCCTGTATCAAAAAAAAAAAAAAAATGCCTATTAGACCTTCAAGTGGTGAAGACAAGTAGGTAATTGGATACACAAGTCTGGGCTCAGGGTAGAGGCTGGGCTAGAGAAAGAAATTTGGGAGTCATCAGTGAATAGATGACATTTTAAGCCATGGGCTTGGAGGAGATAACCTAAGGAATGACGAGAATACATCTGAAGATCCAGCCTCAGACACTCTGGTGTACAGAAGCAGGTAGAGAAAAGGAGAAACCATTAAAGACCTCTGTTGGGCCGGGCATGGTGGCTCACACCTGTAATCCCAGCACTTTGGGAGGCCGAGGTGGGCAGATCACTCGAGGTCAGGAGTTCAAGACCAGCCTGGACAATATGGAGAAACCCTGTCTCTGCTAAAAATACAAAAATTAGCTGGGTGTGGTGGTGCACACTCACTTCACTCTAGCCAGTAGTCCCAGCTACTCAGGAGGCTGAGGCAGGAAAATTGGTTGAACTGTGAGGCAGAGGTTGCAGTGAGCCGAGATTGCACCACTGCACACCAGCCTGGGCAACAGAGCAAGACTGTCTCAAAAAAAAAGAAGACTGAGTGTGATGGCTCACGCCTGTAATCCCAGCACTTTGGGAGGCCAAGGCAGGCGGATCACCTGAGGTCAGGAGTTCAAGACCAGCCTGACCAACATAGTGAAACCCCGTCTCTACTAAAAATACAAAAATTAGCCACGTGGTGGTGCGCACCTGTAATCCCAACTATTCGGGAGGCTGAGGCAGGAGAATTGCTTGAACCTGGGAGGTGGAGGTTGCAGTGAGCCGAGATCGCACCACTGCACTCCAGCCTGAGTGACAGAGCGAGACTCCATCAAACAAACAAACAAACAAAAAAAACAAAAACCCAAGAAGACCTCTGTCTCCTAGAGCAGTCACCTAGAATCCTAGAGAAAAATGTCTTTCCAAAAGGAAGAAATGCAGAACTGTGTGAGTAAAATGAAGCTAAGAATTAATTACTGGATTTGGCAAGATGGAGGTTGCTGATGACTTGGCAGGAGAGTTTCCCTGAGGTGATAGGAACCAAGGTCTGATGAGAGTAGGCTGAAGAGCAAATGTGGAGAAACAGAGATGGCAAGAATCAACAGTTCATATCAGGATTTTGCTGTGAAAGGCAGCAGAGGGATGGGGTACCATTATTTTCATTTTGTTTTGTTGTTGGTTTCTGCTGCAGTGGTAGTTTATGTTGAGATGTATATTTTAAACTGATGATCCTTAAAGAAGGAGAAATTGATGAAGGAGAGAGGTGGGAGGGATAATTGCAAAAATGAAGTCCTTGAGCAGTGAGATCTGCTTCCTTATTATGCATATAGATGAAACATTAAAATGTAAAACAGACTCTTGTGCTGATTTTAAGAACTCTAAGTTAGAAGAGGGTGGGGAGAACTGGGAAGCTGGGGAGCCCAAGATGCAGGATTTTGGCTCTTTAGCTCAGCTAGGTTCAGGTTCTTGTCTCACAACCAGGAGGAATTAGGCACGTGGACACCAGAGGGTGAGTAGAGTAGAATTTATTAAGCAAAAGGAAAGCTCTCAGCAAAGAGGGGGGTCTGGAAAAGCAGGTTGTTGGCTGCCCCCTTCACAGTTGAATACTGTGCTTAAGGCACAAATTCCTGGCGGCTCCACCCCATCCTTCCAGTGCGCATGTGGGCCCTTAGGGTGAGCCACTCCATATTGATTTACTTCCCTTACTGCACATGTGTTAAGGAATGGAATTTTCCACTGCGGGCATGTTTAGGCAAGCCCCCTGTGCAAGTTCCCACATCTGCACAAAATATCTGGTGTAAGCATTTGTGGGGCGGGTTGGAGGTTCTCCAGGGACCCTTCCCTTACTGTCTGCCTAAAGCAAGCTGGCTAACTTCTTACACCTGTGTATTATACAGCACCAGTCTTTAGGGAAAGGAACTTCAGGTGGGTAGGGTAGAGTATAGCAATAGCTGGCAAGAAAAAAAAGATTTGAAGAAACAAACTCTGTGGTGCCCTAGGGAGCAGATGTGGGATGGAAAAGTGAGGCTGGGCCTTAAATCACAAGAAGCCCAAGGTGTACAGGGATCTCTTTACAACAGAACGTGTTCTTATATATGAGTTATTTGAAATAGCTTAATTATACCACTATACTGTCATTAATAATGGATAAATGTACTTCAAAGTAATTTATTAGTTTGTCTGTGAATATGTCTTTCCTTGTCTCTTTTCCCCCTTACCTAGAATGTAAACAAGAGAGAAGAGAACTCCAGATCTGATTTTCATGGAGGAAGGTGATACAGATCATTATGGCTGTAAGGGGAGGATTCTTGTGTTTCCCAGGTGTCCTGAAACCATTCACATGGAGCCTAAGTTAAAATGCTCTGGGTTCGGGAGTGTCTTCCTGGAGATCACTAAGGGCTTCAGGACTCCTTGAGATGGAGTTTTCTTTTCTCTCTCTCTCTTTTTTTTTTTTAGTATTTTAAAATGTATTTCGTTAATTAGCAGCAGTATGCCAAAGTTGTTCCATTATTATATTTTGTTCATTCTTTTGTACAAGTGTCTTCCAATGTGATTTGATAATGCCAACAATTTGCAAGTGATTTTATTGCAGCATGACTTTGGTTCCCAGGAATGCTGAAGCACAGGTCCTAGAACAGAGGCTTGAAAAGGAAATAAAAGGGATTTGATCATAAATGCTTCTGGGGTTGGCATACCAGATCATTTTGAGCTCAAATAGGAGACAAAAGAAAGGATGTTGGGAAAGCTGTATGGTGGAGAGGCTGAACTGTTGGAATGAAAAGACAAGAAGCATATTATTATGTTAATTCCAGCACCCTAGATCTGCAATGCTGAAAGGACTGCCAAAACTAAAGCTTGTCCTACACCACGTTCATCACAAAGAAATTCTGTTTAGACGTTGAGTTAAACTTTCTCAACTGTATTCAGTACAGGATTAAGTGGTTGAGATGGGCCATTCTGCAGTTACACTGTTTCCGTTCCAGTCTGGGTCTCCTCATGTATTAGCTGTGTGGACCTTGGGCAGGTAACTCCTTTGTGCCTCAAAGAAATGGAGATGACGATAATACCTACCTCAGTGGGGTTATTGTGAGGATAAAATGCGATTAATAGAAAATAATTAGAATGGTGCCTGGGATACATACTGCTCATTAAACATTGTATATTTTTATTATTAGTGCACTGTGCTATAATAGGATGGCTATCTAGAAAACATCATGCAATTTGTAATGCACATTTATCATCCAGTTAATTGAAAGAGGTAGTGATGGGACAGTGGTGGCAGACATTGAATGCTCAGGGATGAAAAATGAGACAGGTTTTATCTTGTTTTGTTTTATTTTTGCCTCTCATTAGGTATCCACCTACTTTTCAAAATTGTGTTATTTTAATCTTTATTGCATACAGACATATTCTCAGTAAATTGAGGCCACCATATGGAAGTGTAAGGATGAAGCCAGGCGCAGTGGCTCATGCCTGTAATCCTAGCACTTTGGGAGGCTGAGGTGGGCGGATCATTTGAGCCTACGAGTTCAAGACCAGCCTAGACAACATGGATAAATCCTGTCTCTACAAAAAAAATACAAAAATTAGCCAGATGTGGTGGCATGTGCCTATAGTCCCAGCTACTTGGGAGGCTAAGGTGGGAGGATTGCCTGAGCCCAAGGAGGTCGAGGCTGCGGTGAGCTGTGATCATACCACTCACTTCACTCTAGCCAGGGTGACACAGTGAGACCCTGTATCAAAAAAAAGAAGAAGTATAAGGATGAAATCATAAGCTTAGGTCCTAGTTCTTTTGAGTGAGTTAGAACCTATATAAAATTTTCTCCTTTTGGAATTTTATTTTTCTAATGTTTACCTCATTATTTTCTGACTATAATAGAAAATTATCCTTAAAGTTTGCCATTACAAAGGGAATTGTACTTCTTTAAAATGCCAATTAAAAATATCTTCTTGTTGTTCTTATATATATTTTTAAGTTATATATGCATATGTTAAAATATTTAAGTGAAATAGGAATGACATAAAAATAAAATCTTCCTCCTCACTACCTCAACCTCCAGTCCCATGCTATAGAAGTAAATACTTAAATTAGTTTGCTGTAACAAATTACCACAAACTTTGTGGCTTAAAGCAACACGAATCCATCTCATAGTTGTGTAGCTCAGCATTCTGAAATGCGTCTCACTGGGTGAAAAATTAAGGCATCAGCAGGACTGGTTTCTTCCTGGAGGCTCTAGGGAAGAATCTTTTCCTTGCCCTTCTCACGTTCTAGACCCCACTATTAACACTCATATATTGTTTCAGAAATGTTTAATGCTCCTTGATTTTTATCACCTAATTGTATATTTTCTAGAACTCTCCATTCTTTTATATACAGCTACATACTGTTCTACTATATGGATGCACCAGATGTTATGTGTCCAGCTCCCTGTGTTAATGGAGTCTTGGTTTATTTTCAAGTTTTTATTTTCATAAATTGCATCATAAATAATATCTTTATACTTTCATATTTATGCATTTTGACAAACAGATCCATGGGATAAGTTGTTCTTGGTGTAGTTTCCAGGTAAAGCAGGATGTACATTTACACTTTTGATACTTCTTTTTAAATTGCCTTCTCAAAAGACATCTATTATCTTTCCCTCCAGTGATGAGTAAGAGTTCATATTTCCACACGGTTTTGGGGCGCTCGGGAGTTTGTTTTTTTTACAAAACTTTTAAAACTTTACCACTATATATATAATATATTTATAATATATATTTATAATAAATATCATATATTTATAATATATATTTATAATAAATATTATATATTATATATTTATAATATATATTTATAAATATATATTTATAATAAATATTATATATTATATATTTATAATAAATATTATATATTATATATTACATATTATATATTTATAATAAATATTATATAATATATACTATATATTTTATATATATTATATATCTTGTATATATTATATATATAACTTCTCTTTTTACTTCGTTTCACTTGAGTTATAAATTTGCCATGTTTGGAGGTTTTCGATGGTCCTAGCAAACCAGTTTCCCTAGAAGCAACTTCCCTTCAGTCCGATTCACATCAAAGATGTGACTTCAATACCATCTGATGTTCAAGCTATTTATTTTAGCAGTGGTCTTACAAGTCGGATAGTGGGAGCAGGTGGGTGGCATGGGCCAGATTCAATCAGAGGTCAGATGACTGCCTGTCCAGGAGGGTCTCCATCTGGAGACTATTCTCAGAGTTTGGGAGATTCTTCCCATTTCTTCTACCTGCATTTAGTTCAGTCAATTATCAGGCGTTTCTTTCATAAGAGGAGGTTAAGCTAGTCTTATAAGGGTAAGCTTTGTTAAAGGTTTACGAGATTTGCATCCGTGATGAGGTGGCCTTATGTCCTGGAAATCCCTGGGCCAGCTTGGAAATCCCCAGGCCAGGTGGCCTCACGCTGCTAAGTGGCACATAGTGTCAGTCCTGTGAGAGCTTGTTAATGCCTTATAGCTATCATTAATCTTGTAGTCATGATATGTCTCCTATAGGATGCTACACAGTTGGTTTTAGCATTTTACTATCGTTTTGTTGTTGATTACTTTTGTTTTCTTTCGTTTTTTGTTTCTGTTTTTGAGACAGGGTCTTACTCTGTCATCCCGGCTGGAGTGCAGTGGCATGATCATGGCTCATTGCAACCTCTGCCTCCCGGGTTCATATGGAAGGCAGAGGATTCTCCCACCTCAGCCTCCTGAGTAGCTGGGACTACAGGTGCACACCACCGCACCCAGGTAATTTTTGCATTTTTTGTAGAGACTGGGTTTTGCCATGTTGCCCAGGCTGGTCTTGAACTCCTGGGCTCAAGCAGTCGGCCCGCCTTGGCCTCCCAAAGTGTTGGGATTACAGGTGTGAGTCATCGTGCCCAGCCAGCATCTTACTATGTTTATTAGCCATTTGGATTCCTTTTTCTTTGAATTGCTGCTTGTTAATATATTGGCCCTTTTTTCTGTTACATTATTAATAATGCCAGGAATTATGCTAGTTGCTATGCAAGATGCAGACTTGAGGAAAACCTGGTCCCAGCTTTCAAAATGCTTACTTTCCAAATCTGACTCATCGTTTGACTTTAATGCCCCACTGGACTTCTCTAACAGCATTTTCCATTTTCCCTTTCAAAAGGACTCAAAATATACAAATTTAATTTGATGATAAGAGCTCAAGAAAGGCCGTGGATTCTTTTTTTTTTTATTTTTATAGTAAAAGTGATCAGACTGTTTCCTCTTTTAAGAAGAAAAAGAAAGCAGAGGTCAATATTAAGCTTCCAATTAATGCTTATTCATCACAAATAGTAAGTAAATAATGACAGAAATAATTCCTTAGTCACTCTCTAGCACACTTCTTTTTTATTTTTAACATTTTTCACTATGTGAGATTTCCTAGATTTGTTTTATTTTCTGTTTCCCTCTAACTGCAATACAAGCTCTTGTGGACTGGAACCACACCTGTCATATTCATGCTGTATCTCACCTGTCATATTCACTGCCAAATCCCACCTGCCATAATCACTGCCGTATCCCACCTGTCATAATCACTGCCGTATCCCACCTGCCATAATCACTGCCGTATCCCACCTGTCATAATCACTGCCATATCCCACCTGCCATAATCACTGCTGTATCCCACCTGTCATATTTACTGCTGTATCCCACCTGTCATAATCACTGCCGTATCCCACCTGCCACATTCATTGCGGTATCCCACCTGCCATAATCACTGCCCATATCCCACCTGCCGTATTCACTGCCGAATCCCACCTGCCATAATCACTGCCATATTCCACGTCATATTCACTGCCATATCCCACCTGCCATATTCACTGCCGTATCCCACCTGCCATAATCACTGCCCATATCCCACCTGCCGTATTCACTGCCGAATCCCACCTGCCATAATCACTGCCATATTCCACATGTCATATTCACTGCCATATCCCACTTGCCATATTCACTGCCGTATCCCACCTGCCATAATCACTGCCCATATTCCCACCTGCCATATTCACTGGCAGATCCCACCTGCCATAATCACTGCCGTATCCCACCTGTCATATTCACTGCCATACCCCACCTACCATATTCACTGCTGTATCCCAAGCTTCCAGAGTAGGCTCTAGCATTTGTAGGTGCTCAGTGAATATTTGCTGAATTAGCAAAATAGAAAATTTAAATCTCTTAACAGGTACCACGTTTTGACATAATCACTTGTAACATCTATTTAGAAATCCATAGGCAGCACAAGCACATAAATAAAAACCTGACCTTCCCCAAGATCTTTCCTCCTCTGTTCAGCATGCTGTGTCAAGAGCAGCACATTGTGTGGTCACTGTCTCATTCAATTGGGACAGTCGCATCATCTGCCCCTTGCTGAATCGAGCCTTTGAATTAGATGAAGGAAATTTGGGCCAAGTCTTCTGGAATTTAGTGACTACTATTATCTAGTTTCCCTCTGGTGCAATTAGAAATGAGCAATGAACCAATATATAACCTTGCTTAAAAAGCAATTTCCTTTACTATTCTCCTTGTTTAATTAGTCTGTTTTGTTCTCCCTGAGCTCGAGAGGCATTTTTTCTCCCAAAGCAGAAGCATTAAGTAAGATGCATTCAGTGTTTTCATGAGATTCATTCATTCTTCTTGGACAAGATCTTGGCCACTGTATTAGTCTGCTTGGGCTGCCATAACAAAATATCACAGACCAGGTGGCCCAAACAACAGAAATTGATTTCTCACAGTTCTGGAGTCTGAGAGGTCTAAGATCGAGGTGTCTGCTGATTTGGTTCCTGCTGAGGGCCCTCTTCCTGCTTGTGACAGCCACCTTCTTGCTGCATCCTCACGTGACTTTTCCTCTGTGCTTGCATGGAGAGAAAGAGACAACAAGACAGATTCGCTGATGTCTCTTCATATAAAGGCACTGATTCCATCAGGCCACTGATCCCATCATCCCCCAGCCTCATAGCCTCATCCAATCCCATTTAATTCCCAAAGGCCCTATCTCCAATTACCATCACATTGGGAACTGGGGCTTCAACATAGGAGTTTGGGGGAACTCAAACATTCAGTTCATAACAGCCACCATGTGCCAGTCATCTGGACAGAGGTTGAAAAAGCCCTATCCATGCCAAAATCTTACCTCTTAAGGTAGTAGAGGCATACTGCTAATGTGAACCTTTAAAAATGCTCATTTATTCTACAGATATTCCTTGTTTATGCCATATTACTCACTGGCTTAAAAATCTTCTAATGATGAGGCATGGAACTTGGAGAAACCACCCAAAGTTTCTACCATGTTCTGCAAGGCTGTGATCAGGCACCTGCTTACCTCTCACACTGCTCCAGCCACACTGGCCTGCGTGCTGCTGCTTTCTCCCTTAGGGCCTTTGCTCTGGCTGTTCATTCTCCTTGTGGTGCTTTGCCCCAGATAGCTGGCTCATTCTCATCATTCAGGTCTCACTTAAGTGTCATCTTTCATAGGACATCCCTGATACCCAATCAGAATTACTCCCTTGGCCAGCTGGCCTGTGCCAGATGCTTTGCTGGATATGAAGACACAAAGATCAGTAGTGCGGCCAGGCGTATTAAAATATTACCCTTAATCAATGTTGACTCGACATTAATAATAGAGCATATTAATGATAATATTATTAATTAATTATTATTAATTTATCAATAGAGCAGATATTGAACACTTACTATTTGCAAGGCATTATGCTAAGTCTTTGCCATTATTATAATTATTGTTATTTTATTTTTTATTCTTTTAGAGGTAGGGTCTCACTCTGTGGCCCAGGCTGGAGTGCAGTGGTACAATCATAGCTCACTGCAACCTTGACCCCCTGGGCTCAAGCAATCCTCCTGTCTCAGCCTCCTGAGTAGGCAGGACTACAGCCATGCACTACCATGCCCAGCTAATTTTTTAATTTTTTGAGACGGGTTTTTGCTATGTTGCCCAGGCTGATCTCGAACTTCTGGCTTCAAGCAGTCCTCCTGCTTTGACCTTCAAAAATGCTGGGATTACAGGTGTGAGCCACTACGCCCTGCCCTTTGCCATTATTTATCTAATTTAACCCTCACAGCCATCCTCTGATATACATATGATTATCATCCCCACTTTGGGTCAGATCATAAAACCGAACCTTAAGGAGGTCAACTCACCTGCCAAAGGCCACACACAGGAAAGTGATAGAGCTGAGATTTACCCAGTTTTGTTGAGCTTCAGGTTTTAAAGCCAGAAAGATTTCTCTTTTAGAAAATGATAAAGAAAAGTTTTTTTATTTTGAAAAATTGAACAAATAATAGATAAGAAGGAAAATTGTAAAAAGAGACAGTGATGACTAATGAAGATAAAGTTGTTTTGTAATCAGACAGACCCTGGTTTGTATTCTGACCCAGCCACCAATTGGCTGTGTCACTGTGGATTCAACACTTCTCTTATCTTTGTTTTTTATCTGTAAAAAGGAAGTTATGAGCATTACACGAAATAAACACTGACATGAACAGATTCTCATTCAATGTTAGTTTGATTTTATTGAATAATATTAACAAATTACAGTATCTAATTATGCAGTTCATCATCAGACACAAATAAGCACTTAATTTCTTTTTAATGATATAAAATCTTTTCTGGCTGGGTGTAGTGGCTCACGCCTGTAATACCAGCACTTTGAGAGGCCAAGGCGGGCGGATCACAAGTTCAAGAGATCAAGACCATCCTGGCTAACATGGTGAAACCCCGTCTCTGCTAAAAATACAAAAATTAGCTGGGCATGGTGGCAGGTGCCTGTAGTCCCAGTTACTTGGGAGGCTGAGGCAGAAGAATTGCCTGAACCGGGGAGGCGGAGGTTGCAGTGAGCAGAGATGGCACCACTGCACTCCAGCCTGGTGACAGAGGGAGACTCTGTCTCAAAAAAAAAAAAAAAAAAAAAAAATCTTTTTAAAGCATCACTAGGATCAGAAATGCAAATTTTTCAGAAATTTCAAAAATGTGGAGAAAAGGTTGGACATTTTGTTAGGGAAGTAAAAGCATATACATATAAAATTATATTTGTTCTGGAATATAAAATATGTTATTTGTATTGCTCACTATAGATCTAGTGATTGTAAGAACTTATGTAGCATTTTATCAAGCCTCCATATCTCTTTGGAGACTTCAAAGACTTTAGAAAGGTATAGATAATATCAAATGTTGGTCAAGATGGTAGTCAACAGGAACTCTCAAACATTGAGAGTAGGCATGTAATTTGGTACAACCATCTTGAAAAACTGTTTGGCCTTATCTAGTAAAGCTAAAGATGTATAGATCCTAAGATCTAGCAATTCCAGTTGGAGGTATGAACCCTAGAAAGGCTTGCACTTTTGAGTCAGAAGATGTAGACAACAAAACTCACAGCAGCACTGTTTGTAACAGAGAAAACTAAAAACAACGGAAATTACTATCCACAGTAAATAGAATGAATTACAGTAAATATGGTTATACAATGGAACCTTATGTTTGTGCAGTTTATTCAAGTGGTTGCATGTGGCCACAGTTCATTTTGTTCTCAATATATATAATATATAGATGATACATGTATGTGTGTATACATATATTTCATTGTGTGACTATACTACATTTAATTTTTCCATTCTGTTGTCATTTGACGTTTCAGTTTCAGATAGTTAGCTATTATGAAAGAGCTACTATGAACATCCTTGTTCATGTATTTTGGAGCATGTATATGAGCATTTCTGTTTATTATACGCCTAGAGGTAGAATTGCAGCAGAGTATGCTTGTTCAGCTTTAGTAGAGACTGCCAAACAATTTTCCATAGTGGTTGTACCAGTAGACAGGCCCAATATGTGAGGGTTTGCTTACTCCACAGCTTCACCAACATTTGGTATTTTTTCATTTCAATACTTACTTTCATTTTCATTTTATATTTCATTTCAAAACTTTCATTTCAGTATTTTAGTTCATTTTGATGCATTTTCATTGTAGTCACTCTAGTGAGTGTATAGTGATATTGTACTATGGTTTCAACTTGTATTTTCCTTATGACTAATGAAATCGAAGACCTTTTAATATGTGTGTTGGTCATTTGATATGCTATTATTTTAAAGTAATAAATATAGGGTCCAGACCTATGGGGCTTAGCGGGTGTTCTCTCCGTGTGTGGAAACGAGAGATCTAAGAAATAAAGACACAAGACAAAGAGATAAAGAGAAGACAGCTGGGCCCGGGGGACCACTACCACCAAGACGCAGAGACCAGTAATGGCCCCGAATGGTTGGGCGTGCTGATATTTATCGTATACAAGACAACGGGGCAGGGTAAGGAGGGTGAGTCATCCAAGTGATTGATAAGGTCAAGCAAGTCACGTGATCATAGGACAGGGGGCCCTTCCCTTATAGGTAGCTGAAGCAGAGAGGGAAGACAGCATACATCAGCATTTTCTTCTATGCACTTATCAGAAAGATCAAAGACTTTAAGACTTTCACTATTTCTTCTACCACTATCTTCTAACAACTTCAAAGAGGAACCAGGAGTACGGGAGGAACATGAAAGTGGACAAGGAGCGTGACCACTGAAGCACAGCACCACAGGGAGGGGTTTAAGCCTCCGGATGACTGCGGGCAGGAATGGATAATATCCAACCTCCCACAAGAAGCTGGTGGAGCAGAGTGTTCCCTGAGTCCTCCAAGGAAAGGAAGACTCCCTTTCACAGTCTGCTAAGTAACAGGTGCTTTCCCAGGCACTGGCATTACCGCTTGACCAGGGAGCCCTCAAGTGGCCCTTATGTGGGCGTAAGAGAGGGCTCACCTCTTGCCTTCTTGGTCACTTCTCACAATGTCCCTTCAGCACCTGACCCTATACCCGCCGTTATTCCTTGGTTATATTAGTAACACAACAAAGAGTAATATTAAAAGTTAATGATTAATAATGTCCACGATCATCTCTATATCTAATTTGTATTATAACTATTCTAACTGTTTTCTTTATTACACTGAAACAGTTTGTGCCTTCAGTTTCTTGCCTTGGCACCTGGGTAATCCTCCACCCACAAATAAATAAAGGATTATTGGAAAAATTACTTAATAAGATTGATTACGATCTATGTAAAGCAATGTATCAGTGGACTGAGGCTTGGTTATCCTAACAGTGACACATGACTTGAGAATCTCAGTAGCTTAAGGCAAGGTTTAACTCTTGTTCTTGCTGCATGTCTATTTCCAACAGTCAGTGGGTCTGCTCCACATCAGCATCATTCTGGCAGCTTCTGTGAAGGGACAGCCTCAATATGGGGCATTGCTGGTCTCCAGGCAGAGAGAAAGGAGAGATGGCAACACAATGGGCCACACACAAGTTCTTAGAACTTTGGCTCAGAAGTGGCACACACTTCACTTACACTCACATTTCATTGGCCAAAGGAGATCAGATGTCCAAGACTGATGTTAGTGAGTGGATTATATAATCTAAAGGCAAGGGCTTGTAGGAAGAGGCAGTCAATATTTGTGAACAAGAGAATGATCAGTAACATCTTTCTGCAGAGTAGGCTTATAAGAGTATTACTGTAGGATAGAGAAAACAAGCTGTGTGTCTGTGGGCTGTTGTCAACACATATATATACACTACACACTTTTTTTTTTTTTTTTTGAGATGGAGTTTTGCTCTTATTGCCCAGGCTGGAATGCAGTGGCTTGATCTTGGCTCACCACAACCTCTGCCTCCCGGGTTCAAGTGATTCTCCTGCCTCAGCCTCCCAAGTAGCTGGGATTACAGGCATGCACCACCACGCCCAGCTAATTTTTGTATTTTTAGTAGAGACAGGATTTCTTCATGTTGATCAGGCTGGTCTCGAACTCCCCACCTCAGATGATCCACCCGCCTCCGCCTCCCAAAGTGTTGGGATTGCAGGCATGAGCCACCACGCCCAGCCTCACTTTTTTTCTTTTGTTTTGTTGAACTGGTTGCCAACGTTTAAAAATTATGACATTTAACAAAGATGCAGATTTCTGGCTTCTTTTGGAAATCCTAAGCTATAGCAAGAATCATTTGGAACTGAGTTGTAGCTGCCCTTCTGGTGGGATGTGCACTCTCTGGTTTTCCATGACTGTATCTGCCTGTCTTCTCTGCAGCAGTGCCTTTCAAACATTTTTTACGTAGCTCACAATAAACAATACATTTTACATTGCTACCAAGGACTCGCATGCATGTGTGTGTGTCTGCATTCATATATAGGTATAGATATGCATATACATATACATTCCAAAGTAAAATACATCAAGGAAACAGTGCTTACCATTACTCATTGAAATTGTCTGTTCTATTCTATCCTATTGTATTCTAGTACTTTTTTTTTTTTTTTAATGCTGGAATCAACTCCCTAAATTGATTTCACAAACCACTTCTGGGTCATAGCCCATAGGTTGAAAACATGGTTGTCTATCATGTTACTTGTCTGTTTCTCCTCTAAATGCTATTGGTTAGTTTTCTAGCCTGGATTCCTGTCTAAGCCCTTTAGGGTTTCAGGACAATTCACTGTGTGGGTGAGCAGCATCTGCTTCCCTTCACTTAAACCTGGGCAATTACTGGTTTTGCCCAAGGGTCTTAAAACTTAAACTGCTTGAATATCTGGCAGTTTCCCCGCTGACTTTTCCCTTGTCTGATTTCCTATTTCAATAAAAATAGCCTTGTAGGCGAATATGCCACTGATTCGGAGAATCTCAGTTTCCTGACTGGGCTAGGCAATCAAGGGCAAATGAAAGTGAGTCCTGTTGTACAGGAAGGAGAGTTCTCAGATGATGAGGATGGTCATGGGGACTTTGTTACCGAAGGAGGCCCAAGCTCATGATTTCACAGGATTGATTCCTCCATCTCACTGATCATTTAACAAATACTTATGGATGACCCATGTGCCAGACCCTGTGCTAGGGAACTCATCCAAAACTTACAAAAATTTCTCCTAGATGCACAGACGATGAATAGTAATTACCTCTTCCTGTGTTTTACCCTTCCTATTTCTTCTTTTCTTCCCTTGACCCAGAAATTCATCAATTGCCCTAGGGCTGTTCCGGCTTAGTGCTTGTTGGTCAGTTGGATGTGCCCTTCTGCTCAGGTCTTTGTGGGCTCTCACTGGTGTTCGTATGCATATAGAATGGATGTCTGCATCACATTGTAGGGACAGTGTATGGGGATGTGAAGACAATAAGTGAAAGTCTGCCGCCCACTAAGACACAAGCAGCATTGCTATAAACTCCAGTGGAAAAAGGTGATATTATAGGGAAGGAAAACCGTATTGTCATATTTTCATGGAATTCAGTGAATTGCATTTTGAGGACCAGTGCCATTTTGATGCTGGAGGATTCCACCACCTTTGTGGTGTTGTTTCCTGGAAGAGATTCTACTACTGAAGTGGTGTTGGCAGCAGGTGTACCCAGCAAAATCAGGTAGCAAGGCCTGGTGGAACTTGGCAGAAAGGAGCTCACTGGGGCCATCAGAGACAGTAGTGAGGCCCCCTTGTGCCAGTTAGGGGGCAGCAGAGACCCAAAAGTGGATTTTACCAGAAAGGGTTGAAGCAGGAGAGGAAGGAAATGGCGAATGCCTTGACAGGCCATGTTTGTGAGTCCAGGAAGACAACTCATGGGAGCTCTCAGAAATAATTGTGGGGTGAGGTGAGTGCATACTTGGATAGAGATGTTACAGTACCTGACAGGGGCAAGACCCAGTAATATATGGGTTGTTACTATTAAACGTGACCCCATTTTAAGTCGTGGGTTTATATAACAAGGTTATTTATGCTTGTTATATGCTTTATGTGCATTACCTATAAATGTCCTTAAACTTTTATCACAGTGCAAATGCAGCTCATTACCAGAATCCGTGAGCACTGTCTTCAAACCCTCCCCATTGCCTTGACATTGGCTTTTTCTTAATTCTGTCTCTTTTTTTGGCCACTCTGCTCTTGATCTTGTGTCTACATCTGAGCCTGAAATTGGAGAGTCCTTGGCTACTCTATAATCTGAGTCTTCTACTTCCTGCTTTCCCTATTCAGTCTCCCATTTCCTTCTCCAGCCCCATCCCTGGTACTAGCAAGTCCCTCCCTGATGTCTTCACCATCCGTTCCTTTCAGACACCTGCCACCCTTCACATTAGCAAAATGACAAAAAATAAGAATAAATAAGGTGAGTATAGTAGATTGCATAGTGGCCCCCAAAAGATACACCACAGAGCTCCACACATACTAACCCTTGGTCCCTCAGAATGTGACTTATTTGGAATAAGGGTCTTTGCCAATGTAATTAAGATAAGGATCTAGAGATGAGTCCATCTCCTGGGTTACAGTGAGCCTTAAAGCCAATGACAAGTATCCTTATAAGAGACAGCAAAGGAGAAGGTGGCCATGTGAAGACAGAGACAGAGATTGGAATTCTGCTGCCATAAGACAAGGAATGCCAGGGGCACCAGAAGCAGGAGCTTTCTGAAGGTGCATGGCCCCTGCCAGCACCTTAATTTCAAGTGTCTGGCCTCCAGAACTGTGAGAGAACAAACTCTGCTGTTTAAACCACCAAATTTAGGCTGTGAGTGGTGGCTCACGCCTGTAATCCCAGCACTTTGAAAGGCCAAGGTGGGCGGATCGCTTGAGCTCAGGAGTTTGAGACCAGCCTGGCCAACATGGTGAAATCTCGTCTCTATTGAAAAAAAAAAAATTAGCCAGGTGTGGTGGTGCACGCCTGTAGTCCCAGCTACTTCGGAGAGAGGATCACCTGAGCCCGGGCAGCCAAGGCTGTAGTGAGCTATGATCTGGCCACTGCACTCCAGCCTGGGCAACAGAGTGAGAGCCGGTCTCAAAATCAAACAAAAAAGCCACTAAGTTTGTGGTAATTTATAACAGCAGCCCTAGGAAACTGAGACAATGGGTGACCATACAGCACCAAAGGACTTCTATTTCATGATTGGTGAACATTTTAAAATAAGAAAAGGCCAGGCATGGTGGCTCACGCCTATAATCCCAGCACTTTGGGAGGCCGAGGCGGGTGGATCACGAGGTCAGGAGTTCAAGACCACTCTCGCCAAGATGGTGAAACCCTGCCTGTACTAAAAATACAAAAATTGGCCAGGTGTGGTGGTGGGCACCTGTAATCCCAGCTACTCGGGAGGCTGAGGCAGAGAACTGGTTGAGCCCGGGAGGCAGAGGTTGCAGTGAGCCAAGATCACGCCACTGCACTCCAGCCTGGGTGACAGTGAGACTCCATCCCAAAAAGAAAAAAAAAAAAAAAGTATTACAGAAAAGAATGTGAGAACATGTTTCAAGTATTAACAAATAAAAGAATGCATGCTAAATAATTATTTGCAACACATCATAGAGCCAGTTCTCACCTGGCAATAAGGTACTCCAAAAGTTCATTCATAAGTAAATTGAGACTCAGAATGCATATTTTTCCTGCAGGAGTCATGTGATATATTATGGATGTTTTCAAATATTAATCCATAATAATCATTTTAAGTTAATCATATGCGGACTATAGTTTTCTTGAAGCGAGGGATTGTTCTACACGTATTTAAGTCTTGCTGTCTAGCAGAGTGCTTTGCATGGGTAGGGCCTCCAATAAATGCTTGATGAGTAGTAGTTCATTAAAAAATTCTTTAAAATTTTTTTTACCACAAAACATCTGCAAGTAGAGTAGTTCATTTTTTAAAGCACCATACACTAATATTTAATAGCAGCTGTTTTAGAGTCAGATTGCAAGGCTTCAGATCCTGGCTCTGCCACTTACAGAATGCAAATCATTAAGCAAATTTACATAATCTCTGTGTGCTTCAATTTATTTGTCTATAAAATTGTGATATTAATACCTATCTCACAATGCTGTTGTGAGGAGTAAATGAATTATTATGTACTAAATACTTAGAACATTACTTGCATGTACGGATTCAATAAATCTTAAATATTGTTATTAGCTCTTAAGTATATCTCCTCAACTAAATTATAAACTCTGAGGAAGAGGCAAGATCCTATCCTTTTTAAAATCCCGGCATCTACACAATTTCTTGCATATTGTGTGCACTCAGTGAGTATTTGTTGAACTACTAAAAGGAATGAATGATTGGCTATATGTTTACAATACCTTCTCCATAAAAAATACATATAGAATTGATAACATTCTAACATTTGTTACAGTAAAAAATGTTTTTAGAAATTAAATAGAATTTTTTTTTTAAGACAGTGTCTTGCTGTGTCGCCCAGGCTGGAGTGCAGTGGCATGATGTCAGCTCACTGCAACCTCTGCCTCCTGGGTCCAAGCAATTCTCCTGCCTCAGCCTCCCAAGTAGCTGGGACTACAGGCACGTGCCACCACACCCTCCTAATTTTTGTATTTTTAGTAGAGATGGGGTTTCACCATTGTTGGCCAGGCTGGTCTCAAACTCCTAACCTCAAGTGATCCACCTACCTTGGCCTCCCAAAATGCTGGGATTACAGGTGTGAGCCACCATGCCCAGCCTAAATAGAATTTTTAAGATGTCAGAGCAAAAAGGAAATTATTACCAGTGTGAAATTCTTCACTATATTTTAGCCCCTAAGAGGCAGAGACCTTGTCCTGTTTCTTTGTAACTGCTGCATTTTGCGTGATGTTTTGCAGAATAGGCATGTGCGACCTTGTACACAGAAAGGGCTTAAGCAAATCCTTATGCAGATTCCTGGAGTTATTTTTCTGTGCTGGTCGCTCCTTTCCAGAATTCTACTCTGCAACTTCCAGCTGCCTTAGCCTTCTGAACTCAGAGCCCCCTCTCCTTACCTCCACGAGGCCTCTGGGGTCTCTGGGTTTCCCCTTCTTGCACTTGCAGTTTATACATTGCCTCCAAGCAGAAGGCCCAGGTGTTTCTCATGCTCATCCCATCTGTTTCCCCTCTAACAGAGATTAGTCTTACAAGGCCTCGTGTTCAGTCTGAAAACAGCTGCTTCCTGTACTTCGTTCAGTTCTCTAATTGCTCACAATAAAAAGCTAAGTCCTTTCTTACTTCATCATGGCTAGAAGCAGTTCCCATGCGAATGTCTTGGTTAAAGGAGAAAAATGTATAAGGTAACTATAAACTAAGACTTTCACATCAATTCAGTTGGTTCTTTTGTTAAGAATTACAGGGTTGGGCACGATGGCTCACACCTGTAATCCCAGAACTTTGGGAGGCTGAGGCGGGAGGATCCCTTGAGGCCAAGATTTTAAGATCAGCCTGGGAAACATAGTGAGACCCCGTTTCTACAGAAAAAAAAAAAAAAAAAGTAAAAATTAGGCACAGTGTCGCATGCCTCTAGTCTCAGCTACTTGGGAAGCTGAGGCAGGATGATCAATCCCTTGAGCCCAAGAGTTCGCGGTTACAGTGAGCTATAATTGTGCCACTGCATTCAGCCTAGGTGACACAGCGAGATCCTATTTAAAAAAAAAAAAAAAGACAAAAAGAAAAGAAAATTACAGTATAATTTTTCTGTGTTGAAGAGCTTCTGCTGGACAAATTTTCAGTCTTGGTCGGCAGTTTAACTCAAGAACAGACTCTTCTATCTTCACTTCCAGCTTACATAAATTAGAATGGAGAAGAGAATTCTAAAGTATAAAGAATGTACACTGTTCTCTGCCCCAATTACACATCTGTCTCACGGCTTGTTAGGCAGCATGATGAATAAGCGTGTCATCTCTCTCCATTTATTTGTGCATCCATTTTTATATCCATAGTCTATAGAGACTTTCATTGCTTCTCACAAATTTGTTTAAACTTTTAATAGTGATATATACAGACTTCCTCATCTAAGCACAGACACGATTTCTATTTAGGTCATTTCTGTGCAGTCACTTCCTCTTCCTAGGTCATAGCCCTGTAGTTCTATCATACATAGACTGTCTATTTTAATAGAAACCTGCAGCAATGGTGGAAGGAGGGGAACGGGAGTCATTTCATCAGAAAGATGCATTGTATCTACTGGAGAATTTTCTTGTCTTAGAAACACTAGAAATTATATTTTCTGGAAATTTCAAATTTTACTAAAATGTGGTCATTGTCAATTATGTAACAGGGGCTTTCCTTTTCAATATAGCGACTATCAGTAATAGTGCTGGAAATATGATAACAGGCCACATTCTAAAAATTCATTTCCTCTTTAATTAGGACCTAACTCTTGGAAACTCCTTCATGTGAGCTGCCACAACATCATCTAAAAGCAAACTGCCAAAAAATCATCTTAAACCGCATCATCTAAAAGTTATTTTGGCAAAATGCATGGTCTCAAATGGAAGATAATGACAGCTAAGATAGAATTTAGAATGAGCCCCAGCACTTTGGGAGGCCAAGGCGGGTGGATCACTTGAGGTCAGGAGTTCGAGACCAGCCTGGCCAACATGGTGAAACCCTGTCTCTACCAAAAATATAAAAAAATAGCCAGGCGTGGTGGTGCATGCCTATAATCCCAGCTACTCGGGAGGCTGAGGCAGAAGAATCACTTGAACCCAGGAGATGGAGGTTGCAGTGAGCCAAGATCACGTCACCGCACTCTAGCCTGGGCAATAGAATGAGACTCTGTCTCAAAAAAAAAAAAAAAATTTAGAATGAGCACGAAGTTAATGAATAATACCTCAGTCACATTCTAGTAAGAAACCATTCCTCCTTGTGGGAATTAGAGCCCTGCCCCCAGAACCCTGGCTCTGAGGTTTGACTTCTGTTATGTACTGACAGTCCCCATTACGCTCATGGTTCCATGGTGCCAGCACAGGAGTGGCTGATGACAGAGGCTGACATGTCATGCACATCATTCTGTCTATCTCATTGTTTAGTGTCTCTTCCTTGGTAAATGCTCTCTGATAGGTGTTACCATGCAATCGAAAGATCACACACCTGATACTACTATGTGTCTATCCATTTGCCTCTTTCCTAGACATCTTATCCCTAGCCTTTCAAACTTTCTCCTTCTGGATCCCTGCATATGTACACAGTGTATACAATGAACTGTAATTAAATAAACTACATAATTTACTTATTGATTAGGTCTCTTTTAAACTATTTCTTGTGAGTTCAAGAAAGCAGAGATCTTTGTAGTTTTTTTGTTTTGTATTTTAATTACTACTGTATCCCTAGCACTTATAATAGTGTGTGGCAGAGAACAAGTACTCAGTAAATAGTTGCTGGGTGAATCCATACTAAATATAAATCTTTGTCAATTAGTATATGTGTGAGAAATATCTATTCCTAGTTAGAGGCTGGTCTTTTCATTTACTTTATTGTAAATGATGTTTGAATGAACAGAAGTATGGAATTTTAATGTAGTTAAATTTATCAATCCTTATTAAGCTATTTTTTTGTTTCTTATTTAAGAAATTCTCTGCTGCAAAGTGATAAATATGTTCTGGTATATTTTCTTCTAACCCATCTTTCCCCCACTGATCTGCAATGACATTTTTGTTGTTAATTAACTTTTATTACCAGTGAATCTGTTTCTAGGCTCTCTATTTTGTTTCATTGTCTGACTATCCTTTTTAAAATAAGTTTTTTTAGAGACAGGGTCTAACTCTGTTGCCCAGGCTGGAGTGCAGTGGCACAATCATGGCTCACTACACCCTCTAACTCCTGGGCTCAAGTGATCCGCCGCAGCCTCCTGAGTCACTGGGACTACAGGCATGGGCCATCACTTCTGGCTAATTTAAAAAGTGTTTTTTTTGAAGAAATGGTGTCTTACTGTGTAGCCCAGACTGGCCTCAAACTCCTGGCCTTCCTCCCACCTCAGTGTCCCAAAGCACTGGGATTACAGGTGTGAGCCACTGCACCCAGCCTATCCTATTTATTTTTATTTACCATTATTTATTTTTAATTGCTGGACAGTTTGACAAGTCCAGTTTGAGCTAGTTATGTATCACATCCCATTTGCAAGGGTTGTTTGTCTTGTTCAAAGGACAATGAGTACAACCAATGTCAACAGAAGTTGTTTTTCTTCCTTCGAAGAGAAGGGATGCGCCAGGATGGAGAGTGCCTGCATTCCTGCCCATCAGGGTACTATGGACACTGAGCCCCAGATATGAACAGATGTGCAACTTCTCTCGGAGAAAACAAAATAAAAAATACGTCATTGGTCCATGTTCAACTGCCCATCGTAAAAAAGAAATACATCATTGGATAAGCAACTTCATTCAAAAGTCAGTGCCACAGCAAGCAAGAAATTAGAAGCTTGTAAAAATAAGATGGAATTTTGAGCTGGGCACGGTCGCTCATGCCTGTAATCTTAGCGCTTTGGGAGGCCAAGGCAGGTGGATCACTTGAGGTCAGGAATTCAAGACCAGCTTAGCCAACATGGCGAAACCCCGTCTCTACTAAAAATACAAAAATTAGCCAGGTGAGGTGGTGAGTGCCTGTAATCCCAGCTACTTGGGAGGCTGAGGCAGAAGAATCACTTGAACCCAGGAGGCGGAGGTTGCAGTGAGCCAAGATCGCGCCACTGCACTCCAGCCTGGGTGACAATAAAAATAAATAAATGAAATGAAAATAAAATAAGGTGGAATTTTCACCCATTGACAAAAAGTTAATAATTATTATTGTATCTAATTTCTGGACATTGAATAGCTCATAAGCCAACCTACTTATGAGCATCTGTTTTCTGGATGAGCTTCAACCGTTGCAAGTGGATTTTTCTTCTTTGGACTACTTGTCAAACTGTAGTGTGAATCAGAGGAGTTTAATACAGATTGCTGAAGTTTTTGATTTGTAGGTCTGGGATGGGACTTGAGAATTTGCTTTTTTCCAAGTTCCCATGTGATGTTGATACTGCTGGTTCTGGGACCACATTTTGAGAAACTTTGTTGTCAATAATGTGCCCACAGCTGCATTATTTTTTTTTTATTTTCCCAAGAATTAATGTCATCAGATTTAAATAGTAGTATATATTAATACTGAATGACAAGTTAGAAAGATAGATTTGTTTAAAAGATAATATTGGAAATAGGCACATGAATATTTTGAACTTAAAATAAATGTTTCAGTGATTTTTATTAAAGTAATATGAATATTGTCCTCCAAAACTTTGATGATAGAGTTTTGTTTCTTTAATGTGAATTACTTTCTTACATTGTGAAAACTTAGAGCATATTCTTCCTCAGGCCTAAGTACTGTATAGGAACTATTAAGTGAGAACTTTAACAGTAATTCTCCATATGCAAAAAAGCATTTTTACTAGTCTGTACTTAACAACTTGCAAATTTGCTTTTATCCAAAAGGAAGAGAATTAGAGAAATGATTTTAGTAAGAAATGCTAAAATCAAAAAGATAGGTAAATATTTAAGGAATCATTGTAGTATTCCCAACAGTTTTATAGATGAAATTTTAAGTTCTCTGGGTTATAACTTGCTTTCTGATGCCATTATAAACCTGATGGCTGAGACACTGGTCGATCACCCATTAGGAATATATGCTAAAATTGTTGCTTTCAGTTTTTAAAATATGGCTTAATTTTATGTTTGCTTAAAATTGGTTTGTTTTGGCCTGGTAATATCTCGGGTCCCACACATATGATCATTCACAATTATCATATCGGGCTGAGCAGGGTGGCTCACGCTTGTAATCCCAGCACTTTGGAAGGCCGAGGTAGACAGATCACATGAGTTTGGGCCCAGCCTGGCCAACGTAGCAAAACCCCATCTCTACTAACAATAAAAAAATTAGCCAGGCGTGGTGGCACGTACCTATAGTCCCAGCTACTCGGGAGGCCGAGGCAGGAGAATTGCTGAACCCAGGAGGCGGATGTTGCAGTGAGCCAAGATGGCACCACTGCTCTCCAGCCTGAGCGACAAAGCCAGACTCCCTCTAAAAAAAAAAAAAAAAATTATTATTATTTAGTTTTATCTTCTCTATCTGTTAATGAGAGAGACTAAAATAATGATGAAGAAAACATTTTAATATGGTATATGAATAGTAATAAAATAATATAATAAGATGTATCTCCAAAATCTGAATCTAATGGTACTATATTCGTATTATAGCTGATTCTTTACAAAAAGCAGTCTTGGCTTACTGGAAAATTCACATTTTAAAAGTCGATCAGTTTCATTTTTTCTGGAGAATGTTAGCTTTACTGAAAGTATAAAAGTTTCGTTGTTGTAGACACCAGGTCCTAATAAAAACAAGTAAAAGAAGAAAAAGTTTGTTATGGGTGGAACTGATTAAGTGAGGTACCACTGAAGAATTAAAGATATCTCACACATACTTTGATTAATTAAATGGTGAATAAGAACTTGTTTTAATCTCATTATTCAAGTCACTAAAATGTTAAACAGGTAAGACAAAAAGGCAATTATTACAAGTTTTTACGTAAAACTATGATAAGATTTTTTAAAAAGTGAAACACCACCCATACACACTGAATTCATTTGGCTGGTATTGATTCTGAATATGTATTTTATAATATTTCATTGGCCTTGACCCACAAACTAAACACAGACATTTTCTCAATTAGTCATTTTCAGGTTTATTGCCTAAGATGCTAATTGAAATTCAGGGCAGGCAAAAATACATCATTGGCCTTTGTATATCTTTGAAAGGCCTTCTGATGGGACCTTGCTCCGTATAAAGGCTTCTCTTCTCTGCAAACTGAAAGGGACCCTGTGTGTGAAGTGTGTTCAGTGGGGTCTTCAAGGAACAACATAGAGAGCAGCCGCTGGCCAGCCGGAAGCCACCATGCGCTGTCCTCAACAGAGCAGCTCCAGGCTGTATGACCCCCAGGCAATTAGGCACCAAAAGAAGATGCTCACACTTTCCAAAATTCTTTCCCAGGGCTGGGGGAAGGGAGCCAGACTTGGAGCCCCTATGTGGAACTTAGTCTCCAAGGAAAGAAAGCATGTTCTCATCCTACAAACACTCCATTTTCTCCCTGAATTAGTGTCCTTTCTTTGAACCAGATGAGACTTCGCTCAGAGCTGGAGGCTATGGCCCCTTAGTTCTGTTTCCACAGTGCTTCCAGCCCTCTCCCCAGTTTGGAGGCCCCCAAAATGAGGCGCTTATCTCTTTGATTTTGTGAAAGAAAATGCACAGTTCGTCTATTTGGGGCTTCTGAAAGATGTTAGGCCCTGAAGAAGGTTGACTGGGAGACTGAGTGGGGAGTGACAGACCATGACCTTAATTACTGACCTTTTGTTATAGATTAACTTCCTTCCTATTTTATTGTTCCTGGCCCAGACCAGATAGCACTTGAGATAAAAGATCCCTTGATTATTACATCCTTAATGTGGAATGTTAAATACTCCCTTCCCCCAAGGAATCACTGCCTAAAACCAGTCAGATTGCTGCGACTGTGCACTAACCTTGTGTGGAAAATGCTGTCATCCTGTTAAGCTTCCCCATACCGTGCCTGTATAAACAATCCTCAAACCTCGCTGCTTCAGAGCACTAACCCCATCTTTTTGGAGTCCTCCTGGGTGACCCTCCTCAAACTTTGTGCTCAGTATTTTAATCCTATTGCCTGGATCTCGATTTAAAGTTGATAATTTTCAGAGAATTCTTCATTTTCTCTTTGCATATTTTATTGTTTCCTTTCCATCTGTTTTTCTTTTACTTACTGCCTGAAGCCAAGAGACAATGTCAAGGTGTCTTAGTGAAAGGAGCTCATACTTAAGGGTTCCTGGGTCAAAACCTACATCTCTCATTTCTTAGCTCTATGATCTACCTGTTTCCTTAATCTCTCTGGGCCTCAGTTTACCCATTATTGTAGTAAAACATGTACTACAAGTTACTTTTTATTTAACTACTTATGCCATATTTAATTCCCAACCACTAATATTACATATTAGTTATATATTGTTAAATCATAATGTTCTTTCACTATTTCTTTTATGACTGAGAAATTTCTTTTCAATGTATAAATCATATACATGTTGCTCCTGGACAAAACTGAGGGTCAGGCTGCTACTTCTCCTGGCCCAATAATGAGATGCAGACAAACTGGGGAAGAGAGGTTTTATTTTTGCATTTGGTTACAGGGAGAAGGCCTAGAAATTGTCACCACACCAACTCAAAATTACAAAGTTTTCCAGAGCTTATAAACCTTCCAAGCTGTATGTCTACATATAAGTGTGCATTCATCTAAAGACATAAGTGATTAACTTCTTTTAATCTATAACTAAGATCTGAGTCCTGAAGACCTTTCTCTGGAGCCTCAGTAAATTTACTTAATCTAAATGGGTCCAGGTGCTAGGGTGATTACCCTTATCTTGTCTCCTGCTAAATCACAGAGGTTTGGGGAGTTCCTTCAGACCTCCAATAAACTTGTGTGTGGAGGCCTGGGGAATTTCTTCAGACTGACAATAAAACTTGTTTATTCCAGTCTGGCCAACATGGTGAAACCCTGTCTCTACTAAAAATACCAAAAAGTTAGCTGGGCGTGGTGACGTGCACCTGTAATCTCAGCTACTAGTGAGACCTGGCCTGCCACAATGTGGTTAAGGAAACATATTAAAACATTTTTAAAAATCAAGATTTTCCATTTCAATGGCCTTGTAATTGATTGAAAAGTTTATTTTGAGTCACATGGTGTTCTAGACTCTTGTGGAGGGTTTAGATTGGAAAATAAGTAATGACAGTGAAGCAGTTGTTATGTTCGTATAAAAGAAAGAAAAGAAAAACCCACAGGACTTTATTTGGTTTTAAAAGTCTATCTGCAAAGATATAGTTTATAGGAAAATTCAATTCCAAATGTTTCTCATTGCTCTGGAGTGTGTGAAGAAGAGGCCTAAGAATATTCTTAGGAAGGCAAAAACTTTCAGATGCAGTTCATATGCTTGACACCTCTGTTTCACTTTTGGCTGACTTGTGTAGTCTGATTTTTGGTCACTGACAGGCTCAGCATCATGAGTGTGCAAGACGTAAGGGAGGCAGGACCTTGTCTTTTCAATGGTGTCTTCCTGGGTGGCTGCCAGAATTCATCATTATTGCACTCTACTCTCATAGCCTCGATTTCTGTTTTTGTTTGCTTTTACTGAAATTGGAGTAGTGACACAGAGTCAGATCATTGAAAAGACTCACAAGATTCCAAAGGGTATACTGGTAGAGTATAAACTGGAGGATAAGGTACAGCGGGAGAAAGCAAGTACCAGCAGACACAGAGGGGGCTGAGACTCCTGCAAGCAGCGCCTTTCCTCAGGCTCACTGGATGTGCTCTGTGTTTGGGTGTGAACCACCAAGATGCATGCATGATATCTGTTTTCAGGGAAGCCAAGATACAAGTGTACAGAAAAGCCATTATACCCCCGTCACATTGCTGAAACTGGATGATTAAACCACGTACCAAGCGGTGTCTAAATTTCAGTAATAATGATCAGCTAGTAGAGGGTGCCTCAAGGCAGTTTCAGACTTTAAATAACATAGTAGAAATCACTAGCTAGTCCATTTCATCCTTATCATTGTTGCAGAACTTTCTCCTTAGTTCAGCTAAAACCGGGTTCTTGTCACACAACCGGAAAAGATTAGGCTCAGGGACACATAGAAGGGTGAGGGGCAGAATTTATTGGGTGAAAAGGAAAAAGGAAAAAGAACTCTCAGCAAAGCGAGAGGGAGTCTTGCCAACAGGCCCTCCACCTCACAGACTGAACACCAGGCCACCACACAGGAACTGAAGAGGCCAGGCTCCTCCCCGCTGAACAAGCGTAAACTTCTCTTGGCTCCACCCTCTTCCCCCAGTGTGCAGGTGGGCATTATTCAGAGAGAATCAGCTGAGAAAGGGCAGGCTTTATCCGGGACCAGCAGTCCAGTTCTTCAGCCTTCAGGCTCTTTTAGGCTTGAAGGCAGGGTTTCGTGGGGGACCTTGGTAAGAAGAGTTCTTTTCGACACTTTAATGTAGATTGTAAGAGGTAGAAAAAAATTGATCACATTTAACATATAGTTACTTAAAAACACATCTTTGAGTTTTCTAGACTTCTAATATGATTGTAGAAAATCAGCGTGGCAGCCAACTTAAGACAGATCAATACCTCGAAGTCTGTAACTTTAATAAGAACATCAGAACTGAAATTCTATATTAGTTACCCTATTGTACTCACAGTCATGGAATACAGAACAGGAAAGATTCTGGAAACACATTTTGATAGTCAGGGTCACAGATATTGCTCTGTTTCAGTAACCAGGTTTTCTACTTATGAAAGTTATTTAAAAGGCAATGAATATTCAAAATGTGAGCAGCTATTGCTACCATTAGCTCCAGAATCAGTTCTGAAGAATTTGTAGGAAGTCATCTTGAAAATAATAAAGCAATATATTTTTCAGAAATAGTATCCACTAAATCATAATCTGAGGCCACTTTACTGAGGCGTTTATATTTATATTTATATTAATTTGTTATTTTACACAGAAAGGGAAACTATGACCTAAAGACAGAGATAACAATAATCTGATTAGCATTAGCCACCCCATTCCAACAACAAATCACGTTAATAAGGCATTTTTAGAAGTAGCAAAGCATAGTGGTTAAGAACATATGTTCTAGAACTAGACAGTCTGAGTTTGACTCCTGATACCACTTATTTTATTCTAAAACTTTTGGCAAATTATTACATAACCTCCCTTGCCTCAGTTGGCCAAGCTGTAAAATGGGACTAATAATGGTGTCCAACTCACAGGATTGCTATGTAGGCTAAAAGGTTAAAAGAGTTTTATATTTCTAAAACAATGTGCTTGTAATAGTCTTGGCACATTGTAAACATTGTGTAAGTGCTTATTAAAAATAAATTCATGCTTGTAATTGAAGATCGCCATATGAGATACACATTCTAGTGATCTATATGTTTATCATTAGATATATGATATATACACACACTCATATTTCAGTCCCCTGAGGGATTAACTTTTAATCCCTTGATTTGCAAATCAAGTTGTAAATTACACGTATAAATAAAATACCTTTGTAGTGATTCGTTCATTATAAAATTATGCTAACTATGTTGGTTTTCATGTAGGCATAAGCTGGCTCTATAAATAAAGTTTGAAAATAAGTAAGGTATAAAGGAACCCTGGCGGGATAGATAAGATACTAGGAACAGTGGTTTGGGAGTGAGGATGGGAAGTAGACTGATGTGGAACAAGATGGGAGTGAGACTTTTTTTAGTCACCGTCTATATTTTTATAATTTCTGGGTCTGGAATCAGTATCTCCTCATCCTAACTTGTTCATATGATGAGTTAGAGTCATATCTGCCTGCTGTTAGTTTTTTCAAAGAATCTTCAAATGGGGCAACCCCCTTTGGGTCCCCTCCCTTTGTATGGGAGCTCTGTTTTCACTCTATTAAATCTTGCTACTGCACTCTTCTGGTCCATGTTTGTTACGGCTGGAGCTGAGCTTTCGCTTGCCGTCCACCACTGCTGTTTGCCACTGTCGCAGACCCGCCGCTGATTCCCATCGCCGCTGACTCCCATCCCTCCAGATCCGGCAGGGTGTCCGCTGTGCTCCTGATCCAGCGAGACTCCCATTGCCACTCCCGATTGTGCTAAAAGCTTGCCATTGTTCCTGCACGGCTAAGTGCCTGGGTTCGTCCTAATCGAGCTGAACACTAGTCACTGGGTTCCACGGTTCTCTTCCATGACCCACAGCTTCTAATAGCTCATCGCATGGCCCAAGATTCCATTCCTTGGAATCCGTGAGGCCAAGAACCCCAGGTCAGAGAACACGAGGCTTGCCACCATCTTGGAAGCCGCCCACCACCATCTTGGAAGCGGCTTGCCACCATTTTGGGAGCTCTGTGAGCAAGGATCCCCGGTAACATTTTGGCGACCATGAAGGGACCTCCGAAGCGTTTGTCTCTTCCAGAATTGAAACTGTAAAACTACAAATGGTTCTTCAAATGGAGCCCCAGATGCAGTCCATGACTAAGATCCACCGCAGACCCCTGGACCGGCCTGCTAGCCCATGCTCCAATGTTAATGACATGGAAGGCACCCTTCCGGAGGAAATCTCAACTACACAACACCTACTATGCCCCAATTCAGCAGGAA